>NC_000003.12:109463149-109766180 GCF_000001405.40 Homo sapiens | reverse complement strand
ATAAGTGGGAGTTGAACAATGAGAACACATGGACACAGGGAAGGGAACATCACCGACACCAGTCAGGGGTTTGGGGGAAAGGGGAGGGAAAGCAGTAGGACAAATACGTACTGCATGCAGGGCTTAAAACCTAGAAGACAGGTTGATAGGTGCAGCAAACCACCATGGCACATGTATACCTATGTAACAAACTTGCACATTCTGCACATGTATCCCAAAACTTAAAGTAAAATAAAAATTTTAAAAAAGAAAATAATGGGCATCTCATGATAATGGCAGCACTGGATATTTGAAGATAATGGAGCAAAATCTCTCAACTTTTGATGCAAAATTATTCTCAGTCTAGAATTCTATGCTAGCTGTATCAGCCTTAGTTGCAAACAAAGAAATGCACACTGTAAGCCATGAGAAATTAATATAGACTCTTTGGGAGGGCTGGAGAAATAAACTCAAGATCAGGCTTCCAGTGCCAAGGCCCAGAGCCATGCTGCAGGACCACGCTAGTGAGAAAACTTTATTCCTCCACCGACCTTGCACTAGAATTCATCACAACTATTCTTGCTACCAGCACCTATAAAACTGCTGCCACTGAATCTTCACCAGCAAAACTGTTGCCCCTTTCAAAGCTCAAGCTATGTGTTTCTTAGTGGAAATCGTGTATATAGTTTGTCTTATTGGCTGAAGTCACATAACTGCACAATAGTTGCAAAGGAGGCTCGTGAAAAATATATTCTGCATCACACCTTGGAAAGACAGAACTCACAAAATAGGGAACCATAAAAGTATAGAAAGGATGACTGAGAGGTATTCAGTGGCCACTATTCCAGCCAAATGATATCTATACACTATTTTTTTTCAGTAGTTCAGGCAAATATTTTATTTTATTTATTTTTCTTTTTTTTATTATTATACTTTAAGTTTTAGGGTACATGTGCACAATGTGCAGGTTAGTTACATAGGTATACATGTGCCATGCTGGTGCACTGCACCCACTAACTCATCATCTACCATTAGGTATATTTCCCGGTGCTATCCCTCCCCCTTCCCCCCACCCCACAACAGTCCCCAGAGTGTGATGTTCCCCTTCCTGTGTCCATGTGTTCTCCTTGTTCAGTTCCCACCTATGAGTGAGAATTTGTGGCGTCTGGTTTTTTGTTCTTGTGATAGTTTACTGAGAATGATGATTTCCAATTTCATCCATATCCCTACAAAGGACATGAACTCATCATTTTTTATGGCTGCATACTATTCCAAGGTGTATATGTGCCACATTTTCTTAATCCAGTCTATCATTGTTGGACATTTGGGTTGGTTCCAAGTCTTTGCTATTGTGAATAGTGCCGCAATCAACATACGTGTGCATGTGTCTTTATAGCAGCATGATTTATAGTCCTTTGGGTATATACCCAGTAATGGGATGGGTGGGTCAAATGGTATTTCTAGTTCTAGATCCCTAAGGAATCGCAACACTGACTTCCACAATGGTTGAACTAGTTTACAGTCCCACCAACAGTGTAAAAGTGTTCCTATTTCTCCACATCCTCTCCAGCACCTGTTGTTTCCTGACTTTTTAATGATTGCCATTCTAACTGGTGTGAGATGGTATCTCATTGTGGTTTTAATTTGCATGTCTCTGATGGCCAGTGATGATGAGCATTTTTTCATGTGTTTTTTGGCTGCATAAATGTCTTCTTTTGAGAAGTGTCTGTTCATATCCTTTGCCCACTTGTTGATGGGGTTGTTTGTTTCTTTCTTGTAAATTTGTTTGAGTTCATTGTAGATTCTGGATATTAGCCCTTTGTCAGATGAGTAGGTTGCGAAAATTTTCTCCCATTTTGTAGGTTGCCTGTTCACTCTGATGGTAGTTTCTTTTGCTGTGCAGAAGCTCTTTAGTTTAATTAGATCCCGTTTGTCAATTTTGGCTTTTGTTGCCATTGCTTTTGGTGTTTTAGACATGAAGTCCTTGCCCATGCCTATGTCCTGAATGGTAATGCCTAGGTTTTCTTCTAGGGTTTTTATGGTTTTAGGTCTAATGTTTAAGTCTTTAATCCATCTTGAATTGATTTTTGTATAAGGTGTAAGGAAGGCATCCAGTTTCAGCTTTCTACATATGACTAGCCAGTTTCCCCAGCACCATTTATTAAATAGGGAATCCTTTCCCCATTGTTTGTTTTTCTCAGGTTTGTCAAAGATCAGATAGTTGTAGATATGCGGCATTATTTCTGAGGGCTCTGTTCTGTTCCATTGGTCTATATCTCTGTTTTGGTTACTGTAGCCTTGTAGTATAGTTTGAAGTCAGGTAGCGTGATGCCTCCAGCTTTGTTCTTTTGGCTTAGGATTGACTTGGCGATGAGGGCTCTTTTCTGGTTCCATATCAACTTTAAAGTAGTTTTTTCCAATTCTGTGAAGAAAGTCATTGGTAGCTTGATGGGGATGGCATTGAATCTATAAATTACTTTGGGCAGTATGGCCATTTTCACGATATTGATTCTTCCTACCCATGAGCATGGAATGTTCTTCCATTTGTTTGTATCCTCTTTTATTTCCTGGAGCAGTGGTTTGTAGTTCTCCTTGAAGAGGTCCTTCATATCCCTTGTAAGTTGGAGTCCTAGGTATTTTATTCTCTTTGAAGCAATTGTGAATGGGAGTTCACTCATGATTTGGCTCTCTGTTTGTCTGTTGTTGGTGTATAAGAATGCTTGTGATTTTTGTACATTGATTTTGTATCCTGAGACTTTGCTGAAGTTGCTTATCAGCTTAAGGAGATTTTGGGCTGAGACAATGGGGTTTTCTAGATATACAATCATGTCATCTGCAAACAGGGACAATTTGACTTCCTCTTTTCCTAATTGAATACCCTTTATTTCCTTCTCCTGCCTAATTGCCCTGGCCAGAACTTCCAACACTATGTTGAATAGGAGTGGTGAGAGAGGGCATCTCTGCCTTGTGCCAGTTTTCAAAGGGAATGCTTCCAGTTTTTGCCCATTCAGTATGATATTGGCTGTGGGTTTGTCATAGATAGCTCTTATTATTTTGAAATATGTCCCATCAATACCTAATTTATTGAGAGTTTTTAGCATGAAGTGTTGTTGAATTTTGTCAAAGGCCTTTTCTGCATCTGTTGAGATAATCATGTGGTTTTTGTCTTTGTTTCTGTTTATATGCTGGATTACATTTATTGATTTGCATATATTGAACCAGCCTTGCATCCCAGGGATGAAGCCCACTTGATCATGGTGGATAAGCTTTCTGATGTGCTGCTGGATTCGGTTTGCCAGTATTTTATTGAGGATTTTTGAATCAATGTTCATCAAGGATATTGCTCTAAAATTCTCTTTTTTGGTTGTGTCTCTGCCCGGCTTTGGTATCAGGATGATGCTGGCCTCATAAAATGAGTTAGGGAGGATTCCCTCTTTTTCTATTGATTGGAATAGTTTCAGAAGGAATGGTACCAGTTCCTCCTTGTACCTCTGGTAGAATTCGGCTGTGAATCCATCTGGTCCTGGACTCTTTTTGGTTGGTAAGCTATTGATTATTGCCACAATTTCAGATCCTGTTATTGGTCTATTCAGAGATTCAACTTCTTCCTGGTTTAGTCTTGGGAGAGTGTATGTGTCCAGGAATTTATCCATTTCTTCTAGATTTTCTAGTTTATTTGTGTAGAGGTGTTTGTAGTATTCTCTGATGGTAGTTTGTATTTCCGTGGGATCGGTGGTGATATCCCCTTTATCATTTTTTATCGCATCTATTTGATTCTTCTCTCTTTTTTTCTTTATTAGTCTTGCTAGCGGTTTATCAATTTTGTTGATCCTTTCAAAAAACCAGCTCCTGGATTCATTAATTTTTTGAAGGGTTTTTTGTGTCTCTATTTCCTTCAGTTCTGCTCTGATTTTAGTTATTTCTTGCCTTCTGCTAGCTTTTGAATGTGTTTGCTCTTGCTTTTCTAGTTCTTTTAATTGTGATGTTAGAGTGTCAATTTTGGATCTTTCCTGCTTTGTCTTGTGGGCATTTAGTGCTATAAATTTCCCTCTACACACTGCTTTGAATGCGTCCCAGAGATTCTGGTATGTTGTGTCTTTGTTCTCGTTGGTTTCAAAGAACATCTTTATTTCTGCCTTCATTTCGTTATGTACCCAGTAGTCATTCAGGAGCAGGCTGTTCAGTTTCCATGTAGTTGAGCGGTTTTGAGTGAGATTCTTAATCCTGAGTTCTAGTTTGATTGCACTGTGGTCTGAGAGACAGTTTGTTATGATTTCTGTTCTTTTACATTTGCTGAGGAGAGCTTTACTTCCAACTATGTGGTCAATTTTGGAATAGGTGTGGTGTGGTGCTGAAAAAAAATGTATATTCTGTTGATTTGGGGTAGAGACTTCTGTAGATGTCAATTAGGTCCGCTTGGTGCAGAGCTGAGTTCAATTCCTGGGTATCCTTGTTGACTTTCTGTCTCGTTGATCTGTCTAATGTTGACAGTGGGGTGTTAAAGTCTCCCATTATTAATGTGTGGGAGTCTAAGTCTCTTTGTAGGTCACTCAGGACTTGCTTTATGAATCTGGGTGCTCCTGTATTGTGTGCATATATATTTAGGATAGTTAGCTCTTCTTGTTGAATTGATCCCTTTACCGTTATGTAATGGCCTTCTTTGTCTCTTTTGATCTTTGTTGGTTTAAAGTCTGTTTTATCAGAGACTAGGATTGCAACCCCTGCCTTTTTTTGTTTTCCATTTGCTTGGTAGGTCTTCCTCCATCCTTTTATTTTGAGCCTATGTGTGTCTCTGCATGTGAGATGGGTTTCCTAAATACAGCACACTGATGGGTCTTGACTCTTTATCCAATTTGCCAGTCTGTGTCTTTTAATTGGAGCATTTAGCCCATTTAAATTTCAGGTTAATATTATTATGTGTGAATTTGATCCTGTCATTATGATGTTAGCTGGTTATTTTGCTCTTTCGTTGACGCAGTTTCTTCCTAGTCTCGATGGTCTTTTCATTTTGGCATGATTTTGCAGCGGCTGGTACCGGTTGTTCCTTTCCATGTTTAGTGCTTCCTTCAGGAGCTCTTTTAGGGCAGGCCTGGTGGTGAGAAAATCTCTCAGCATTTGCTTGTCTGTAAAGTATTTTATTTCTCCTTCACTTGTGAAGTTTAGTTTGGCTGGATATGAAATTCTGGGCTGAAAATTCTTTTCTTTAAGAATGTTGAATATTGGCCCCCACTCTCTTCTGGCTTGTAGAGTTTCTGCCAAGAGATCTGCTGTTAGTCTGATGGGCTTCCCTTTGAGGGTAACCCGACCTTTCTCTCTGGCTGCCCTTAACGTTTTTTCCTTCATTTCAACTTTGGTGAATCTGACAATTATGTGTCTTGGAGTTGCTCTTCTCGAGGAGTATCTTTGTGGCATTCTCTGTATTTCCTGAATCTGAACGTTGGCCTGCCTTGCTAGATTGGGGAAGTTCTCCTGGATAATATCCGGCAGAGTGTTTTCCAACTTGGTTCCATTCTCCCCGTCACGTTCAGGTACACCAATCAGACGTAGATTTGGTCTTTTCACATAGTCCCATATTTCTTGGAGGCTTTGCTCGTTTCTTTTTATTCTTTTTTCCCTAACTTCCCTTCTCGCTTCATTTCATTCATTTCATCTTCCATTGCTGATACCCTTTCTTCCAGTTGATCGCATCGGCTCCTGAGGCTTCTGCATTCTTCACGTAGTTCTTGAGCCTTGGTTTTCAGCTCCATCAGCTCCTTTAAGCACTTCTCTGTATTGGTTATTCTAGTTATACATTCTTCTAAATTTTTTTCAAAGTTTTCAACTTCTTTGCCTTTGGTTTGAATGTCCTGCCGTAGCTCGGAGTAATTTGATCGTCTGAAGCCTTCTTCTCTCAGCTCGTCAAAGTCATTCTCCGTCCAGCTTTGTTCCGTTGCTGGTGAGGAACGGCGTTTCTTTGGAGGAGGAGAGGCGCTCTGCTTTTTAGAGTTTCCAGTTTTTCTGCTCTGTTTTTCCCCCATCTTTGTGGTTTTATCTACTTTTGGTCTTTGATGATGGTGATGTACAGATGGGTTTTTGGTGTGGATGTCCTTTCTGTTTGTTAGTTTTCCTTCTAACAGACAGGACCCTCAGCTGCAGGTCTGTAGGAGTACCCGGCCGTGTGAGGTGGCAGTCTGCCTCTGCTGGGGGGTGCCTCCCAGTTTGGCTGCTCAGGGGTCAGGGGTCAGGAACCCACTTGAGGAGGCAGTCTGCCCGTTCTCAGATCTCCAGCTGCATGCTGGGAGAACCACTGCTCTCTTCAAAGCTGTCTTCTGCGTCGCTCACGCTGGGAGCTGTAGACCAGAGCTGTTCCTATTCGGCCATCTTGGCTCCTCCATCTATACACTATTCTAGACAAATTATCAATCAAATGTAAGAATAAAGTAAAGGCATTTTCAAGCATGTAAAGATTCAAAAAATTTATTTCCCATGCACTGTTTTCTAGACAGATGCTGAAAAATAACCTTCACCAAAATAAGGGAATAAACTAAGAAAGTAGAATACATGGCATCCTTCTTTGCAGATGCTGCTGGGGGAAAGAATGGGAAAGGAGTGAGGAATAAAAGACTACCTATTCGGTACAGTGTACAGTGCTCAGGTGATGGGTCCACCAAAATCTCAAAAATCAACACTAAAGAATTTATTCATGTAACAACAAAAAAGAGCTGTATCCTAAAACTATTAAAAATAAAAATTAATTTTTTAAAATGTTAGCTACAAAAGAAGCAGGAGGAGGAGAAGGAGGAGGAGGAGACGGGGGAAAAGGAAGAGGAAGAGAGAAAGAAAAAGAAAAGGAGGAGAACATAGTATTTTAGAAATAGGATTGAGCACTGAAGAAGATTACGGAAATTCCAGGATGACTTTTGATCATGAGGCCTAGAGTGTAACCAGCTGAGATTGGAGAATGATGGAAGAATAGGAGGCCTCGTTTCAGATGGGAAAAAAACCTGTATGTGTGTTACCTATGCTTTAACATTTGAAAAAATACAGATTTATTGGAGCCTTTGGAAAAACGGAAAATAGAGTAATAGAATGATAAAAATAGACTTTGGGAGGCCGAGGCGGGCGGATCACGAGGTCAGGAGATCGAGACCATCCCGGCTAAAACGGTGAAACCCCGTCTCTACTAAAAATACAAAAAATTAGCCGGGCGTAGTGGCGGGCGCCTGTAGTCCCAGCTACTTGGGAGGCTGAGGCAGGAGAATGGCGTGAACCCGGGAGGCGGAGCTTGCAGTGAGCCGAGATCCCGCCACTGCACTCCAGCCTGGGCGACAGAGCGAGACTCCGTCTCAAAAAAAAAAAAAAAAAAAAAAAAGAATGATAAAAATAGTACAGTAATGGAGTAAATCTGGAAAAGAAAATAATAGTATACTACTAGGCTCAGCAATAAATAATATTCAACTATTCAATAATGTGGAGACTGGGTACTGAGTTACTTAAAAATTGTGTTAAACTGATACTGAGATAACAGTAAGAGATAATGTGTGTATGTGTGGAGGGAGTGCATTAAAATGGAAAGGTCCTGAACTACCAATATAGCAACTCTAAAAATACTAAGATTGATAGATTAAGAAACAGAGGTACACGTATAAATATTTTAAAAGATGCTGGACAATTACAGAAGAAACCAAAAAAGAGCTGAAGTTCATAAAATTAGCAGAGTACGACTGAAGAACAAGGAAAAATAGGACAAGACCATATATTTTTTTAAATGCACCCATTAGTCTTATTTGATTTTTTAACTATATAAATGTATTATATTGATAAATGTAGCATTACTTTTTTAAAAAACTATATTTGCAAATGATGACGTGGAAGGTGGGATCTCAAGAGCCTGAATATCAGATGCATAAACTTTTAGAAAGGAGAATTTGTTTTGCATAATAGAATAAACCAATTTGAAATTTCTAGGTAAATCTAAGAAGAAAAAAAGGTTTAAAAAATTGTAGGGGTGGTTAAGAGTCAGTAGGCAGCAAGAAGGTGAAATTTTGTGCCACATATATATTTTCTCCGTGACACTATAAAATCATCAGCACCATATTTTAAACTCAAAATGATTGGTGTGAGTGATTTCTGATGAAGAAACTAAAGAAGAAATTGTCATTCTTTAAAACATAGTTGGTCACTTCTCAAAAGAAGATATTTATGCAGCCAAAAAACACATGAAAAAATGCTCACCATCACTGGCCATCAGAGAAATGCAAATCAAAACCACAATGAGATACCATCTCACACCAGTTAGAATGGCAATCATTAAAAAGTCAGGAAACAACAGGTGCTGGAGAGGATGTGGAGAAACAGGAACACTTTTACACTGTTGGTGGGACTGTAAACTAGTTCAACCATTGTGGAAGTCAGTGTGGCGATTCCTCAGGGATCTAGAACTAGAAATACCATTTGACCCAGCCATCCCATTACTGGGTATATACCCAAAGGACTATAAATCATGCTGCTATAAAGACACATGCACACGTATGTTGATTGCGGCACTATTCACAATAGCAAAGACTTGGAACCAACCCAAATGTCCAACAATGATAGACTGGATTAAGAAAATGTGGCACATATACACCATGGAATACTATGCAGCCATAAAAAATGATGAGTTCATGTCCTTTGTAGGGATATGGATGAAATTGGAAATCATCATTCTCAGTAAACTATCGCAAGAACAAAAAACCAAACACCGCATATTCTCACTCATAGGTGGGAATTGAACAATGAGAACACATGGACACAGGAAGGGGAACATCACACTCTGGGGACTGTTGTGGGGTGGGGGGAGGGGAGAGGGATAGCATTGGGAGATATACCTAATGGTAGATGACGAGTTAGTGGGTGCAGCGCACCAGCATGGCACATGTATACATATGTAACTAACCTGCACATTGTGCACATGTACCCTAAAACTTAAAGTATAATAATAAAAAATAAATAAATAAAAATAAAACATAGTTGGCAACCAATGGAGGATCCACTAGTCTGAGATAGCCCTTAAAAATAACATCCTTGGGAATTAGCAGAAATCCAAAGAGGATTTTAAATTTTGAGATTTGATTTTTCTTGGAACTATAGTGGCCACAAAGTACCCAGTTGATACCAGATTTATTGTGGAGTATACATAAAATAATGTATCTGATGAGCAGTGCTGGCCCCTAAACCATTCAGTATAGGGTAGGCATTATATACAATCTCATATGAGCCTCACAACAACCCTTTAGGGTAGGCAATATTAACTTTATTTCGGAGGAAAAGGCTCAGAGACATCATTTCTTCAAGATCACACAGACCAATTTCTTATCAAACCAAGGTCTCTGCCCAATACTAATATAATCATCATATTCATCGTGAGATAGAAGTAGAACCCTGCACACTGTTCAAATTATTTCCTCTGTATACTGTTTTTAAATGAGTGTGACAAGATAGGAAATATACAACCTTTCTCTTTAGAACCTAAGATGCTCTATCCTTAAACAGACTGAATGGGAAAAACTGAGTAGGAGTGGAAATGATGGTGATAATTTAGAGAAATTTTTAAATATGTCCATATTTCATGTAGGAGAGTTGCTGGGGGTTTTTATGACATCTTGTTGTGGGAGGTTAACTTCTGTCTCTATTCTGTTTTAAGAAATTTATTTCCCCAATCACTCAATATGTTATTAGATCCTGAATATTATTCTGATTCTGAGTACTATATCTTCAAAATAGAAAGTCTGAAAATGCCAAATACAACTGATGAATTAAGAAATACTGTATACAAGTATATTATTTAGAAACATATTGGAAAATTAGATGTAAGCATGATTTACCAGTGCTTTCTATCATTAATAAACATGCTGTCTACACTAGATCACTAATAGAATTATTTAGTTTCCACTGTCCCAATTTACTGTATTCTTTTGCTAAATGGTGTCACAGAAAGGAGTTCATTGAAAACTATATTTCCTGTGTCTTACATCCAGTCTTGCCATTATGTATTCTAGAACGTTGAATAGGATCAATGTTAAAAATCTATTGGATTCTAAACCATAGATACAACCAAGAATTACCCATGGGATAAAATTGGGGAACACAACAGAGGGAGGTGGAAACTTATAAACTAGAAGATACATGTCCCTAAAAGTACTCAGATTCAATAACCTCTTCTGTACTAGTCAACAGATTCTTAACAGCTTTATGTGTCTGTCCTATAAGCCACCAGTTTGTGACTTCTTGTTAAAAGGGCTATTTGCCATCAATATCTTTTTCAAAATCAGACAGACATTATCATCCTCAGTTCTCACTGATTTCTCAGAAGCCACATACAAGGATTCAGCAAGCTCCTTTGTTCTTTGAAAATAGGCTGAGTCCCAACTCACTAGCTACCAGAGGTACTAGCTACCAGAGGAACTGGGGCAGGGGGTGGAGAAACAACACACTTAGAGCTCAGAGTCTAGATAGAAAAATAATTCTTGACATAACCATAGAAGTATATATGTACCTATAAATTAAAATACACACTATTATGCAGGGTGCTGGAAGGGACTATGAGTATTGATCTGTTTTAGGTTGTCCTAGTCTTCAAGGGCATGTTTCATCTAGCAGGAGACCTGAGCTCATTTAAATCTGTTAGGTGCTGTCTCAAAATATCTTTACCTATATAGATTTAGATTTCTCAGTAACCACCGTTTGTTTCACCCTCCTATGATTTGAAGATCACTCTATTTGATAGTAAAGACAAACGCAAAACAAAACTTGAGGGCTTCTGCTTCTTCCTATCACTTTTCAGTATTATAATGGTGGCCCTAATCAGCAGATTGTTTCTTCATTGACCTTTTGCTTCAAACACAGCTTTTTAAAAATTAACTTCTAATGGTCTTTGTGTGTTTCTTTGAGTCTCAGATTAATTTGGATGCCAAGCTTTCTGACACTATTCTTAAGCAGTTAGCTTAGTAAAAAGATGACTTTGGTTCAGATTCAAATCCTTAATCAAGCAGTAACAAGTTATTTTATCCTAAGAACTTATTTTGTCTAAGCCTCATTTTCCTCATTTCAAAATGAGAATAGCAATTTATAACTTGCAATGCTGTAGTGAAGATTAGATTAGGTTATGGGAGCAAAATGCCTAGTACAATGCCTGGCAGAGATAGCAGCCCACCAAATAACTTATGGCTATTATTCTTATAGGTCCAACCGATAGATGTTTGTCCTCACCTATGCTATGGATTTCTTAGAGGCAGACTGATCTTTCCACTTCTTTTCTCTCTCATATAATATCTAGCACAAAGTTCCTAATAAATAGAGCATACTATCATATCAGTCAAGGTTCTTCAGAGAAACAACAGGCAGGTGCGTTGAACATTAATACTACTGGGGAAATCTTAACAGGAATTCTAGAGTTGGCAGTATTTTTTAGTTTAGCAAGGAAGAATCACTTTTACCTTGTACATATTAAACTTCATGCTCCTTTTCCAGTTAAACACAGTTTGTTTACCACCAATTGTCACTGTACAGGCTTCTGCTCCAATGAAATGTTCATACACTGTGTTCACAGGTCTACACTTCTACTTTTGCCTTTCTGTTCTCAGAAAATACATACCCTACATAACCAGGGCTTAGCTCCCTACCCCAAGCAACCTTCTAACTGATATTTTCATCGAGCAAAGCAAAGTGCTCAGTTATTTTGATGTCTGCTAAGCAAAGGTAAATTCATTAAACACCATTAGTGTGAGGTAGAGATGAAAAAAAAAAGTTCTATATTTTACAGACTATTTGCCAATAGCAATGAACTCCTAACTCTAGGTGGATACGATGACGAAAAAAGAAGAGAGTGCCTACTACCAAGTCATTAAAGTACTATTGTAAACATGTCAAATTTTACAGGTGAGCCTCACTTTACAAAACAGAACAGAAAACCATCTGTGTTTAATGAATCAGTTGAGTTCCAGCAGCGCAGTCTAACAAACATGTTTCCAGTGGCATCAGAATAAGGCTATGATCCACTTATTAACTAACATTTCTCTGGTTCTCTCTCTTAATAACAGAGATAAGTTCCAATTCTTTTCACAGTTTCTGTGTGCCCCTCCTCTGGCTTCTGTGTGTCTGTGCCACTGACACCACACCTGGGACTCTCTCAGGAGGATTTCTCTTGGGCTACAGAAGCCACTTTGCCTGCAAAGACAGGCATCCAGAAGTGCCTGGATATTGACCAACCACCCCTACCCCTAGGGATAGTTCTTTTGTTTTTTCTCTTTTTAACTTTTAAGTTCAGGGGTACAAGTGCAGGATTTTTACATAGGTAAACTTGTGTCATGGGGTTTTGTTGTGCAAATTATTTCACCACCCAGGTGTTACACCTAGCACTCATTTATTTTTTCTGATCCTCTCCCTCCTCCCACGCTCCACCCTCTGAATGGCCCCAGTGTGTGTTGTTCTCCTCTATGTGTCCAACAGTTCTTAACTAATAGTGCCATTGCTGGAAAACCTGGCTCCCTTGTCTCCACTCAGGATAAACTTTGAGGTGTAATTTATCCTCCAGAGCTCTCCTGCAATGCCAGGAAGGGGCTAGGACTTTGTGTAAAGCTGCATCCTTGTTTGGCCTCTTCCTCTTCCCTGTCATGCTTCTCCCACTTGATTTCAAGATCTCGCTGAAGCACTTCTTTAATAAATCACTGGCACACAAGTCTTCTCAGGGTCTCCTTCTAGGGAACCAGCCCAAGACGCCTGGGATGCTTATCCTCCCCAGAAGGATCCATCCTGGCTGACAACTCCGTACCATATTAGCCAAGGTTTTTCAGAGAAACAGAACAAATGGGGTGAGTGTGTGTGTGTGTGTGTGTGTGTGTGTGTGTGTGTGTGAGAGAGAGAGAGAGAGAGAGAGAGAGAGAGAGAGATTTTAAAGAATTAGCTCATGTGATTGTAGGGATTGGCAAGACAAATCTATGGGGCAGGCTAGCTAGCTGGCAAATTTATTGTTGTAGTCTTGAGTCTAAAGACAGTCTGGAGGCAGACTATTTCATTGCTATAAATTATCCTTGTACACACAGTTTAGTCCTATTGTCAGATAATCTCTTTAAGAATGAATTCCTAGAAGTAGAATTGCTGAGTCAAATGGCATATACTTAATAAAGCTTATGAAATATTTTTCCTAATAGTCTTCCAGAAACACTATGCCAACATGCATAACCCAAAGCTATTTATAACTGTACTATATATCTTTACACCTCACAATGATTCTTTTCATTCTCTTTAAACCTTTGTCAATTCAGTGGGAGAAAACTTATTGTCTTAACTTTCTAAATTTTTTAAATTTAGCATGTTTTACATTTCTACAAAAATATAATAAACATTTTTCTCTTTTGAACTGGATGTTATATTCATATCTTGTGCAGTTTACCTATTAAGATGATTTTCTTTTTCTTAGTGATTTGTCATAACTTTTCACATATTTGGAAACTTAACCATTCAGTAAATATATTTTAAGCACCTATACTGTGGCAAGGATGAAGCTGGATATATAAAAATGAATAAATTAGAAAATCAGAACACATTTTCCAGTGAAAAGTGTATGAAATGGAAGCTATATTATTTTGGGCCATAGTGTGAGTTAAATGGTTTTTTGTTACACTAAACTAAGTATATTACTATTCATATATTGCTAGCTTACTGATACGGTTTGGTTGTGTTCCCACCCAAATCTCATCTTGAATTGTAATCCCCATAATCCCCACGTGTTGTGGGAGGGACCAAGTGGGAGGTAATTGAATCGTGGGGGCAGTTTCCCCCATGCTGTTCTTGTGGTAGTGAGTGAGTTCTCACAAGATCTGATGGTTTTATAAGCATCTGGCATTTCCCCTGCTGGCACTCTCTCTCTCCTGCCGCCCTGTAAAGAGGTGCCTTCGGCCATGATTGTAAGTTTCCTGAGGCCTCCCCAGCCATGTGGAACTGTGAGTCAATCAAACCTGTTTTCTTTATAAATTACCCAGTCGTGGGTATTTCCTTATAGCAACATGAGAACAGACTAATATACTTATGTTGCTACTATTAGACTTAAAATTTTTAAGTGCAATTTTTAAATGTTATTTCTAACGAAAGACTAATTTACATTTTAAAATTATATTCTAGGAATACATTTAACTTCTAATAGAAAGATTCTTCCCTCTGACATCAGAAAAGAGGTTTCCTCACCCACATAGTAATAGTTATCACAGCTCCATCAGTAACTTAAACTAGCAAATATTCCTATACTATTGCCTTCAGAATCAATGCTACTAATTTATCAGAAACGCGTAGATCTGGAGCTGTAGAAAACTTATACACACAAACATACACATATACATATTTTAACACTTCATTTAACTTCTTCAGTGCCTAGACCAGCATTCAATACATGTTACATGAATAAAATAACAAATGACTGAACAAGTAAACAAACTAAACAGACCTCTATTGAACAGCTGTCATGTGCCAAGTACTGCTAGGTCCTATGGATACCACAATCAGCAAAACCATTCATAGAGCCTACTTTCATGGAGTTTACTTTCCAGTGAGGCAAAAAGACAGATGTTCTCTGCACATGTACACTTTCTCTGCTACCACCCCCACAGAGTCAACTGAGTTCTGAAAATAGATAATGGTTTGTAGAGAAAAAAGATATTCTATATCAAATCCAGCAGTAAAGATGGGAGTAAACACAGCTCATGCCTAGTGTGGTCTCACCCCAGTAGCTCCAAGAGCTATGAGCACTCATTTATAAGTATGCATCACTGGAGCATCAAGGATGGCTAATATTCCCAGAAGCTTATATATTAAAACAGATGTCTTTACAGAGAGAATTTTATTTTCAATAAGCTCTTTGAAGTCGCTGTATAGCAAGTATTCATGCAAAGTAAGGAATCATCTCTAATCAGTTTTGCAATTTATCTTTATGGTTTGCTTAGAGTAAAATCAATCTGCAATGTTATTAAATAATGATGTAGTAAAATGTTAGGGCCAGGAATTAGAGGAAAGTTGGTAATGGGTTTCAGCAGAGGTTGAGAGAATTAGGCCCCCTCCTGAAGAGGGAGATGTTTCCAAGAAACATTTCCTATCCACTCTTTTTAAAAAGTATAAGCTCCTGCACATCACAGAATAACATGTTAGAATCACTCTGTTTTATAAACTCATGTTAATTTTATTGACAGAATAAAGAACTCAGTTTAAACCTATTAACTCTTTGATTACTTTAGTAAAATTTGCATTTAGTATGATGCTATGGTAAATTACTTTAACTCCCCCGCAGCTGCACTGGCAAGCCTATAAACAATTTTACTCATGCTTAGAACATTTCCTAAGTTTACTGAAGTAAAGACATCATGAGTGCCATACACAACAATGGTCTTGCTGCTGAAGAAGAAATGGATGAAACAACTCCGAGTCCAAAAAACATCACTGAGTTTTAAGATAGCAAATACCACTTGATAAAGAAAAACTTTACATCTGGAAATAGTATATATAGTTACTGCAATGATTTCTTCTTGCATTTTATAACAAGATTGTTCAGATGCCTTGGTCCTGGAACATAAAAACAGTGTTCAAGGATTCTTTGGATAATAACCTATTTTTGACATGTCAAAGATAGGCATTACTCATACTTGTAAGAAAAAAGAGAAGACAGAAGAAAATCTTCAACCAGTTCTGTTATCTTGATTATAGACTGCCTTGTATGGTCCAATTGTGTTTCTATCACTCACTGGGTCTTCAACCATGCAGGTCAGTATTTGTGACAGGCAGTGTGGTGTAGAGTAGAGAGCACAAGAATTAGTCATAAATTTCTGGTTTAAATTCTGATTTGGTCACACAGGGGATGTGCAACACTTAGTACTCAACCCTTTGAGTAGAGCTTTCCTCATCTATGAAATGGAGTAAGAATGCATACTTTAAAAATTGTTAAGAGGGCTAAATGGAAATTCAGATAGAGATTTGAGCAATCAGAAGTATTTCCTGGTGTCCACTAGAAAAGTTGAGTTCATAATGAAAGCTGCTAGGGCAAGTCTCACGCCAAGTAGAAAGCTAATGATTCCACAAATATCTAGCTCCGCTTTAAGTACAGCAGATGCCTGCAAATTTTAGTCACACATTTAAGTTTTTATTTCTAAAAGCCATGGAGAGCATCAGGGTTTTAGAATCACTTACTCCTCAATTTAAGGACAAGAATACATCTTAAACACACATTAATGATAATAGCAAAGGTCATTTATTTGCCTACATGTCACTTTTTTAAAGACGGTTAAATGGGATTATGGATGTATAATTATTTGCATGGTCAGATGTCAGGTGTTTAATAAATGTTCAAATATCTGGTTGTCTTCATCTCATCACTAGGGAATGAAGAGTAGATATTTGTACAATTACTGAGAATCCTTGGGGTGCATTCATCAAATTTTTTCAGCTTCCCTCCTCTTACTTACTTCCAAATTAGAGAGTTGTTTGGGGTCCTCCCCATGTCTAAGGAGTCCTACTGTACTACTAGTGCCCAGCTGTCCATAGCCTTTAACATTGGACATTGACTCTTTGTTTCAAATCCCACCAACTTCCAGGCTCATCTCCACAAAGCTTTATACTCTGATCACATCGTTTCATTGCTCTGCAACCTTCAGTGCCTACAAATGTCCACAAAAAATGTTCAAACTCTAAGACATTTAAGATGCTCATTCTCATTATATATTGTGGATATAATAAAAAATAGAAAATTTAGGCTTAAAATTACAATCAAAATCTACTAATACAAATTCTAAACCATAATATAACACCCTATGCCTAAACAGATTGAGAGTCAGTTATATAAATATATAGCTAGTTGGTAACAGATGTCTTTAAATCCTTCTCTTTCTAGAACTGCTAGAATGTCTCTAAAATGTTATAAGCCATTTGCTCTTTTATAACAAATAGAGAGGTTATGCTGGGTTGCATAGCAAGATGGTCTGAATAAAGTAGTAACTTAAAAAGTCTCGGTTAGGGGGAATACCAATAATAATAGCAACTATCCAGTGATGCCTATCTCAGCCCAATTTCCCTAGAAAGACTAAGTCAAAACCTTACTGTTAACACATTATTAAGGAGAGCTATTCCAGCAAAGCAGAGATAAAGGGAAAAAAAGCACTTGTTATCCTAAGCAAATTAACACAGAAACAGAAAACCAAATACTGTAGGTTCTCACTTGTAAGTGGAAGCTAAACATGGAGTACCTATGGACTCAAGGATGGGAACAGTAGACACTGAGGATTCCAAAAGTGGAGAGGGAAAGTAGAAGGGCAAGGGTTGAAAAACTACCTATCAGGTACTATGTTCACTATTTGGGTGATAAGATCACTGGAAACCCAAATCTCAGCATTGTGCAATATATCCTTGTACCAAACCTGCACGTGTACCCTCAAGTCTAAAAATAAAATGAAATAAAATAATTTAAAAAGGAAAGAAAAAAGGCACTAAAGGAGGGAGTATGTTACTGAACTGGCCACAGCTTTGTAGCAAGTTCCATTGATTGCTCTGTCTAGCTGGATAGCTTTAGAAAGGTGTGTAGAACACATTTTATTTGCATGGATTCAACATAGTGCTTGGTGTTCAGCAAATTCAAGTTTTGCTTTTTTGGAACTTTGTGGAATATTTTTTCTGGATATTTTTGATTGGCAGTTGGTTGAACCCATGGATGCAGAACCCATGGATATGGAGGGCTGACTGTACTCATACATCTTTGAGTAACGAACTCTTTGGGGGAAAAGAGGGAAGTGTATTGAGCAAGAGAAGGAAAGAAACATTATATACTATTTTGATTCTGTTACATTTGTCTATAGATTGTTTGATTCTAATCAAGACCGAAGAAGATATGATTCTGTGACTGGTTTAGAATTCTGGGGTGGAAACATCCTGGAACCAAGTTATTTCATGAATTCTGTCTCCTGGAAAGGGATACAGCCTAGGAAAGAGTTGTTATTCCGAAAGTCGACCTGTTACTTGGTGAAGCTAAAGTTTAAGAGCTCTAGGGAAAAATAAAATCTAATAATTCTAAAGAAAAAAGAAAGAAAGAAAGACAAAAGCAAGGAAGGTGTTTAGAGCCACCGTGTTTCCAAACAGTCCAGAGGAAAGGGGTGAAAGAGTCATTTGCTCTCTGGTTTCCTCTTGCTTCCTGTCCCCCACTAGTCATTGTTCACACCAAGGACAATTAATTCCTTATGTCTGGTGGTATTACCTGCTCCTTCAGTAAATGCCGAGGAAATCAGATCCTGCATCCTTCACCTTCATGCTTGTCTGAGATTGAAGGTGATGACAGAAACCAGGTCCTAGTTGAGGTTGATGGGTTTTACAGGCTTCATGGAGATGGCCATTGTGGAGCTTTACCAAAGAAGCTCCATTGAGTGGATGCCACTGTGTGCCCACACTAAGTCAGTTTCAACTCCTCCTGTGTCTGTTCAGAATTAAATGAATTCTTTTGGTATAATTCTTGTGAAAAGTAAAGGTAAAGAGGGAGGATGCAGAATGAGCAGGAAAAGTCTTTAGACCACTTAACAGACCTGATATCTGTGAAACGGATGAGAGAAGGAAGTAGAATTGAGCTGGGCAAGATTCAGGATAGGATGCAGGTCTGATAAAGCTTAGGCCAACCTGATAGGGTGCTTTGGAAAAAGACTGCCTATTGGAGGAGTACACATTGGGCAGAAATGGCAAGGCCCTAATATCCCTACCATGATCAGTGATGGGCTGATAGCCGCCTAGGGTGATGATGACCTTGGTCCAATGGCCATAGCAGATCTTGAAGTTCTATAGTTGAGTGCTGTTAGCTAACAGCATCCTTCACAGCTAAAGAACAGTCCTTCTTTAAGGGAGATCCCAGTGATGCATCTCCACTACTCCCACACCCACAGAAACCTTGCCTCAAGAGTGGCTGGGCTGATCAGCTGGGAGGTTAATGAGACTTGTCTCTTAATTATAAAATCTAATGCATGGTTTTCTTGTTCGAACTTTCTGATTTTCAGACTGCTGACCAATCTCTTCTAGTTAATCTTGCCTGGTAGCCAGTGAGTATACTACTTCATAAAACTTTGCAGGAAAAAAAAAGAGGCCAATATCATTTTGTGGCAGTTTCAAAATAATATTCTGAGATATGCACAGATCTCTACAACTGAAGAACCAAAAGCTTTTCATCCTCTTTGGAGCAGTTTAATCACATAGAGTAGGTGACAGAGAGGAGAGCGTCCCATGATGAGCCATGGCGATGATGACATATGGTTGATTGATGGAGTAAGAAAAAAACATCAGATTTGTACAGTTAGTCTTTAAAGTTCCTGAGAAGGACCAAATAGGTCTGTAAATACTTGAAAGGAAAAACACGTGAATGGAAAGAAAAAAACATCCTGACCTAGAAGAAGCTTATGAAATAATATTTAAAAAGTAGACTGGAAAGAAACTCAGGTTGCAGTAAACAATTTTGTACCATCCCGTAGGGGGATCAACTTATTGGATTTTTTCCATTTCTTGTTTATCTCCTTCTGTGTCCATACCACAACTTTCTGTTTTCCAGTGACTTTATTAGTGTTCTTGGCAGCTCTGGGCACAAATGGATACCTAATTATTTCCCTGTGGAAGGATCCAATATCTTTAGAGAGAAAGCTTAACTGGAACTTTTCAAGGTACTACCACATTCTCTCCTAATATGGCAGCTGGTCTCCTAGAGAGAAGCACAGGAAGTTCCCAACCAAAGAATAGGCTGTATTCTAAAACCTTCAGGGTCAAAAGCCAATTCAGTTCCTCATGGAAAGACTTAACCATTACCAATGATTTAATATCATTAGACAGATGCCATCTGGATCAAGCTTAACCTCTAATGTACCAGAAATGTCATGATAATATTATCACTTAGTATTAATTTAACTAAGTCTAGCTTCAAATTTGTCTGTATCACTCCTACATACTCATTTTTAAGAGAAAATGTATCGCAAGCAAGCAGGACATCAGAAAAATAAGGCAGTCTCACTAGAGTGATAAGTGTGGACACTCAATTTTTGTAGCAGCTGTAGGACAAGGAGTAGAGGCCAAAAGAGACATTCTGTACTACAATTATTACTACTCAGGGCTGGCTTCGTGGGCTTATGATCTGTGCAGTCACACAGGGCATTGTGCTTAGAACGATCCTATGCTGCTGTCATCATCTTGAAATTCTTGCTTATCTTTGAACAAGAGCCCTGAATTTTCATTTTGCACTGGGTCTGGCAAATTATGTAGTCACTCCTGCAATCACTTTCTTAAAATCAACAAAGTCTTTTACTATATATTATCTCATTTTTTTATTTTCACAAATTCTCGTAAGGTAGGTAAGGCATGGTTTACCGTCTCTCTTTTGTTATAACACACTGAGGCTCAAGAAAGATAAGGAATTTATTTCACAAAGTTAATATATGGTGAAGCTGCAACCCAACCCCAGGACTTTCAAACTTCAAGGCAAGGGCTCTTTGCATTAGCCCACACTGCCTATTATCCTGCACTGGGGTTCAACTGTAGAATAATATAAAACAAAGGGTTTGGAAGATGAGAATAGTGTGTTCTTGGTAACTCCACATTACCAATAGTATTTCATCTCAAATTTTTTCTTTCTTCTTAAGTGACAAGATCTCATATAAGCTTTTCTTTTCTTTTTTGTTTCTGAACAGACTTTAAGATTTGGCTATTTAGTCATTATCTAAACCCCACTGATATTCATGTATAAATCTCCTTTCCTTAATTGGCAGGGTTATATCCAGATTTCCAGTGATTGTTTGACCTCTGTCAGTAACAGATATGATCTTGCTAGCTGTGTGGGCTTTTTCTGGATAACTTTTTCTTAGCTTTAAACCATAAAAAGGGGAGCTGGTAATTAGGAATCTCATGAGGCATAGCTGAAGGATTTTAAATAGCATGAGATAAAGTGCATCTATCCTTGTTAGAAAATGCCTAGAAGCATCAGGTGAGGGAAAGAAGCAGCAATGATAAGATATCAGGTTATGGGGATTACAGAAGCCTGTGGAGAGACACAACATGGCAGGAATGACCAGGGGTTTCTCACTTTGTACCACATATCTGAAGACAGAAAGTTTCTAAAGGCTTCCATTTGTTTAAAAAAAGCAGATTTTAAACCTGGGAGGACAAAAGGTTATTTTTCTTTCTAAAGTATATAAGACATAAAGGATCGTATTTAACTCACCAAGGTCTTTGGTCTTAGGGGAAGGTTATAGCCATCCCAATAGTGAATATAACTAAACTTCAGGGTTGGAAGATAAGTGAAATATGTATGAAAATGTACTATATTGAAGACTCAGAAAAATCATTATTAAAGATTATATTACAATGACACCCTTCAGTTTGAGAAAATTACTGAGTAAAAATAATATGGTAGCTTAATAATATACTCTAGGTCTTAACACCCTATAGCATATAGTATAAAGAAAAAAGCAAGCGCTCTTAAAGTGCACAGATCTAGGGTAGATTTCCAGCTTACTTATTTCACAGTTACTTATTTCATAGTTGTATAAGCTCAGACAACTTATTTAACCTCAGTGAATTTTTTTGAATTTATAAGAAAATGGGAGAAAATAATGGCATCCACAAAAGTTTACTAAGAAAAATAAACAACCTTATCTCATAGTGCTTGACACAAGGTATATATTCAAAAGAGGGAGCTATTTCTATTATCATTTATTCCCCCTCGATCAAGTTAACTTTCAACACTTTGCTCTTACAGAAGTCATTCCTGCCTATCCTTAACTGATTCTTTGCCCAGTAGCACAGAATCTATATTTGCCAGTGCAAAGGTGACAGGCAACTCCTCCATTTACAAGTAACAGAATCTTAAAATTGGAGCAGAGGGGAATGTGGTTCTTGTCTTATGTCAGCTCAAGCTCTGACACTCCTACAAAAATATATATATATATTTAAAATTATTCTACTGCATCCTCCTCTTCATCCGTCACTGCTTCCAATTCAACACTGGCGTGGCCAGATTCCAAGTCCAACTTTATCCTCAGAGGATCTGTTATTTGAGATATCATCGTGCATTACATGAGGAAAAACAATTTTAGAACTTTAATTATATGCTGCTTTCAACACAGAGTCATTTGGTGCAAGCTGCAATTAAACATTTGTAATTCATTTAAGAGCAGTAAAATAGACATGGCTTTAAAAACAAAATTGCAATGTTGGTTTTACGGGAATTTTTATATCTAAATATTTGCAATCATGCAATATTGATATATATGTAGAAACTACCTATGGAAGAAGAAAATACTCCGTAATTTTATAGAGAGACACTCTGAAGTTTTTGCTATTGGAAGTTATAAAAAACATTTATTTTGGTACAGTCTAAGGATTTTATCTTTTTCATATTTTGAATAGTGATAATTTGTATTTCTATGTGTAAATGGCAATCATCAGCATCTTATTTTTCTAAAGGGACCATCACCTTCTGACTCTGACAAAATATGTATAGCAATAGCTGGAGTCACTTTGTGGTCAATTAACTCTATCTCTCAATAATTATAACAATCCAAAAATATGCCCTTATAGGATAAGTACTTTTTAATAATTTTAGCAGATTTTATTAAATCTCTCTGCTGACTAAGACACCATACTTATGATTTGTGTCCCTTCCTTCCACACCTGGCCCTTAGTGTATTACAGATGAGATTCTCAAATACTTTCAATATGAGGAGGAAACCCAACATAGTAAGACTTAAAGAAATACATCAGAGGATTAACAGTCAAGAGACATGCATTGTCTTTTCTACTCTTTAATTTACCAGCTTTTGATCTTAAACTGGTCACTTCACTTTTCTAAGCTATTTCTCCTTTATTTTAATTTTGAAATATGGCTAAGGTAAACTATGAAGTATTCACCAGTTACAGACTCCCGTGACTGGTTCACATTATGTTAGTGTAAAGAATAAGGTGGTCTACCCATTGCCACATCCTCCTGCCTTGCTTGCCATATCATGAGGCCGAAAGTATTCAGCTAGAATAAATGAAAGTCATTAAAGAAACAAATGGGAGAAGCAGTGTGACTGAATTTGTTTTCCTAACTGTGTATTAGTGAATTGTTAATTCACATTATGGAACAAAATGGCCTTTAAAAGCATCTAGATAAAAACGTCTTAGTTAATAGATGGAAACTGAGACGTGAAACAATTGTCCAAGATTCACTACTTAACTAGCAGCAAAGCCAGGACCAAGACTCATTTCTCTTGACTCCAGTCCATTGTTGTTGCTGATTTGTAAATGTGTCAGGGTTAACAATAATATGACAATGAGTAAGACTTTAAGAAATTCTGTCTAACTGACATTTAAAGCCACGTTGCTCATCTTTTTGTGTGCCTCCCAATATTATCTGTCCCAAATAGTATGCAGAAGCTGGGAAGAACGGGAAGGGCATGAATGATGAGATAACAGCTTGGGCCTCTCAAACTCAAATGACAGTAGTTGCTTATGGCCTTCATGGATCCACTACCATCTTAATTCAGTTTTTTGGCAATAACCACAAAAGTTATCAATTAATATGGTTGGAAAGAAAATTGATATTTCAAAAGTAATCCAATAGAGACTGCTAGTATATTGAAATCTATCCTCAATTTAGTTATGGTAACATGTAGTGATCATAATTTATCTGTGCCTTCATTTCCTCTCTGTATTTATCTCCAATTTTCTTTACTGCGTTGCTTCCAAAATATTTCTCTGACCTCTCAGCACTGGAGTCATCTTTTATAATTGGTACTACATTCCCCAGGATCTCACCTAAAATGTCTCAAAGATCGGGAAGGGGTGATGCTGGTCTGGCAGCAAGGCACAGGGAGGCTGGGACACTTGTTTGAGCTTTGCTATTGCAAACAAACCAGCAAGAAACCAGACGGCAGCTGGTCTTGTTACTCAGAGAGAAGTTTGAACTAAATCAGAGCATGGTCACCACACACTACCAAAATAAGTGTCTCTTTAGTCCTTCAGGAGTTGAGATATCTGAAAGTTTTAGTTTTCAAGAGATCTAAAGGTGTTAAGAAAAACTTTTCAGAATTAGCAGCTAAAAAGACCACAACCACTCTGGACTCTGGCATTGGTTCCATTTAGAGTCTTTCATAACTTATTTTATTGGTGGCTCTTTCTTCCCCAGTATATTGAATGTAAGTTATCATCTCAACTATTGATTGACTTCTCTAACTTAGATTTTTAAAATGTATTTTTACATATGTCATAGAAAATTATAGCTCCTTACCAAAATCTGTTTTTTCTTTTTTTTTTTTTTCTGCTGGGAATCTGACACAGATACTGAAAAGAGGACATGGGTAGACAACGTCCTTCACTCAATATTGGCAGAGAAACACAGAAACCAACAGCCATGGGAAACTGAGGGAAAAGATATCTGCACTTTGTCTCTGATCCCCTCTCAGTTCCCCAAGCAGAGGAGTCAGGACTTGAGAAGAGACAGAAACGACGTCTAATGCAAAGACAGACCCCCACCCCTGAATTGAGAGAGAGGAAGAGAATAAAGGCATCAGAAGAGACCCATGCACAAACGTAAGTGTGAACTTTTAAAAGAGCAAAAAAAAATGACAAATAATAAATGGTGTTGGAAGGATGAGCAAATGAAAAAAGAGAATGTGCAAGGAATTAAAAAATTGAAAGGAAAGTTTCAAGAAGTATTAGGGAAACAAATTGACTAACGCACCATTGTAATCTCTATTTTCACAGATGTAATCACTGAAGTTGTTCAAGTACATTTCATAGTTTACCTGAAGTAAAAAAAAAAAAAAAAACCCAAGGGCAGAAACAGTCCTAATTTTTACTTGACTCTTTGAGTCACCGTCCCTCTAAGGATATGGTCTTTTACATTTAATATCCCTTATAAAAATATTAGTGAGTGATTGAAAACCACAAAGCAGGCATATTTCCTATGAGGAGGTGAAAAAGTGACAAAAGCGTTTTCCGAACATAGCAGAAAGAAAAAGCCAGACTTTTGCATTCAAACGCCTACACAACAGCATGTCACTCAATTAACCTGAAACACTTATTTGTAAGTGACATTTTATAAATGTATTCTGAAAGGGAACCAGTCTAGTCTTCATTTTTGATAATGGATGTTAATTCAGGAGCTAAGTATTGAATTCTAATAACATAAAACTAGCTCTCTATCTTATATCCACAGTTCAACTTATATTAATAATTATAAATGAAGATGGTCTTTTTGGGTAAATATATAAATAGATGCAACATATGTAATGGGCAGGACAATTTAGAACCATCCCTTTCCCATCCCCAGGTATTAATTAGGTTAACTATTTTCTTTTTTAAGAGCTTACAAAACTCATTAAGAAGCAGACAAACTGGAATTCCACTGTCAAGTTTGTTCATATTTAAAATTATATTTACATTCAAATGCACTTTTTAAAGTTTAAAGGGCATCATTGTTTTGTAATTATTACATAAATTATATTATATCATATTGCTGAGTAGGTCGTACTGGCATTAGAGATGTGTCTAAGATTACCTCAAAACACTTTTGGCCAACATTCATCCTCATCTTTTAAGATGGCTCTAGTTCACTTTATAAATAAAACAAAGCTTTTCTAGTATTTTCAGCATGGGTGGTAACTGCTGGTGTCATGTTATCATAGCAGCAGTCTACATGTGCATGTTCATGCTTAAGAACATGTACATTAACTCACATGTTCAGAAAGCGCTTTTCTTTAAAACAGCAATTAGAGGCTCACATTCATAAAACTTTGTTTTTTTTTTAATTTTATTATTATTATACTTTAAGTTTTAGGGTACTTGTGCACAATGTGCAGGTTAGTTACAGATGTATACATGTGCCACGCTGGTGTGCTGCACCCATTAACTCGTCATTTAGCATTAGGTATATCTCCTAAAGCTATCCCTCCCCCCAACCCCCACCCCACAACAGTCCCCAGAGTGTGATGTTCCCCTTCTTTGTTTTCTTGAGAAGAGTCATATTTCAACTCCTAAATTTAGCATTAAGAGCCCTTCAATAGCGTGCCTTATACTCTTTCAATCTCATTTCCAAATATTGATTTTTCTCCTTTCTGCCCCTTCTTATCTACTTATCTTTTCTGTTGATCTTTCCTTTCTTCACACTTTTGTTCAGTTCATCTTCTCACTGGCGTAATTTCCCTCTGGCGTAATTCTATTCATTATTTAAGCTTCAGTTTGTTTTATTTTTTCAGCTTTATTAAGATATAGCTGACAAGTAAGTCATATAATTTACAGCATACAATGTGATGTTTTGATATATTTATACATCTTGAAATGATTGAATCAAATGAATTAACATATCCATCACCTTGAATAATTATCTTTTTGTGGTGAGAACATTTAAGATCTACTCTCTAAGAAATTATTACTATTAGCTAGGGTCACCATGCTGTACAATAGATCTCCAGAACTTATTTAACTTGTCTGTCTGAAACTTTGCACTCTTTGACTAACATCCCATTTTCCCTTTCCCCAGCCACTACTAACCATCATTCTACTCTCTGCTACTATAGTTCAACATTGTTAGATTCCACATATAAATGTGATTATGCAGTATTTGTCTTTTTGTGCCTGGCTTGTTTTGATTAGCATAATGTCCTCCAGGTTTGTTACAAATGACAGTATTTCCCTCTTTTTTAAGGCTGAATAGTATTCCATTGTGTATATACATCACGTTTTCTTTGTCCGTTCATCCACTGATGAACACTTAAGTTGGTTCCATATCTTAGCTATTGTGAAAAATGCTGCAGCTTAACATGGGAGGGCAGATATCTCTTTGAGAACTAATTTCATCACTTTTGGATACATACACAGAAGTGAAGTTGCTGGATCACATTAAGTCTTATTTTTTATTTTTTTAGAAACCTCCATACTATTTTTTATGACTGTACTAATCTACTATTCCTACCAGCAGTGTACAAGGGTTCTCTTTCTTTCATATCTGCCTCAATACTTGTAATCTTTTGTTTTCTTGCTAATAGCCATTCTAACAGGTAAGAAGTGATATCTCATTATGATTTTAACTTGCATTTTACTAATTGTTAGTGATGTTGAACATTTTTTATATACGTTTTGGCTATCTATATATCTTCTTTTGAGAAATGTCTATTCAGGTCTTTTGCTAGTGTTTTCATCACATTGTTTTCCTGTTATTGGGTTGTTAGAGTTCCTTATATTTGGGATATTAACCCTTATCAAATGTACAATTTTCAAATATTTTCCCCCATTGCCTAAGTTATCTTTTTACTCTATTGATTGTTTTCTTTGCTGTGCAGAGGTTTTTAATTTGATGCAATTTTACTTGTGCATTTTTGTTTTTCTTGCCTGTGCTTTTGGAGTCATATCGAAAATAAAATTATTGCCCAGGCTAATGATAAGAAGCTTTTTTCCTGTGTTTTCCTCTAGTAGTTTTACAGCTTCAGGCCTTAAATCTAAGTTTTTAGTCCATTTTGAGTTGATTTTTGTATACAGTGTGATATGGTTTGGCTTTGTGTCCCCACCCAAATGTCACCTTGAATTGTAATAATCCCCACATGTCAAGGGTAGGACCAGGTGGAGGTAATTGGATCATGGCAGTGGTTTCCCCCATGCTGTTCTTGCGATAATGAGTAAGTCTCACAGAACCTGATGGTTTTATAAGGGGCTGTAATTTCCCCTGCTTGCACTCATTCTGTCCTCCCCCTCCATTAAGAATGTGCCTGCCTCTCCTTTACCTTCAGCCATGATTGTACATTTCCTGGGGCATCCCCAGCCATGCAGAACTGTGAGTCTATTAAACTTTTTCCTTTATAAATTGCCCAGTCTCAGGTATTTCTTCATAGCAGTGTGAGAATGGACTAATACAGTAAATTGGTACTGAGATAGTGAGGCACTGCTTTAAGGATAACCAAAAATGTGGTAGCAACTTTGGAACTGGGTAATGGGCAGAGGTTGGAACAATTTGGAGGGCTCAGAAGAAGACAGGAAAATGTGGGAAAGTTTGGAACTTCCTAGATACCTGTTGAATGGCTTTGACCAAAAATGCTGATAGTGATACGGAAAATAAAGTCCAGGCTATGGTGGTCTCAGATGAAGATGAGAAACTTCTTGGGAACCGGAGCAAAGGTGACTCTTGCTATACTTTAGCAAAGAGACTGGGCAGCATTTTGCCCCTGCTCTAGAGATCTGTGGAACTTCGAACTTGAGAGAGATGATTTAGCATATCTGGCAGAAGAAATTTCTAAGCAGCAAAGCATTCAAGAGGAAGCACAGCATAAAAGTTTGGGAAATTTGCAGCCTAAGGATGTGATAGAAAAGAAAAACCCATTTTCTGGGAAGAAATTCAAGCCTGCTGCAGAAATTTGCATAAGTAAGGAGCCCAATGTTAATCACCAAGATAATGGGGAAAACGTCTGCATGGCATGTCAGAGACCTTTGCAGCAGCCCCTCCCATCACAGGCCCAGAGGCCTAGGAGGGAAAAATGGTTTCATGGACTGGGCCCAGGCCCCGCTGTTATGTGCAGCCTTACAGCATGGTTCCCTGCATCCCAGCTGCTTCAGCTCCAGCCATGACTGAAAGGGGCCAAGGTACAGCTCGGGCCATTGCTTCAGAGGAAGCATGTCCCAAGCCTTGGTGGTTTCCATGTGGTGTTGAGCCTGTGGGTACACAGAAGTCAAGAACTGAGGTTTGGGAACCTCCACCTAGATTTCAGAAGATGTATGGAAAAGCCTGCATGTCAAGGCAGAAGTTCGCTGCAGGGGTGGAGCCCTAAGGAAGAACCTCTGCTAGGGCACTGCAGAAGGGAAATATGGGATCAGAGCGCCCACACAGAGTCCCCACTGGGGCACTGCCTAGTAGAGCTGTGCAAAGAGGGCCACCGTCCTCCAGGCCCAAGAATGATAGATCGACTGACAGCTTGCACTGTACACCTGGAAAAGGCACAGACACTCAATGCCAGCCCATAAAACCAGCTGGGAGTGGGGCTCTACCCTGCAAAGCCACAGAGGTGCAGCTGCCCAAGGCCATGGGTGCCCACCTCTTACATCAGTGTGACCTGGATGTGAGACATGGAGTCAAAGGAGATCATTTTGCAAAAGTAAGGTTTAATGACTGCCCAATTGGATTTTAGACTTGCAACGGGCCTGTAGCTCTTTTGTCTTGGCCAATTTCTCCCATTCAGAAAGGGTGTATTTACTCAATGCCAGTACCCCCATTGTATCTAGGAAGTAACTAACTTAATTTTGATTTTACAGGCTCAGAGACGGAAGGGACTTGACCCTTGTCTCAGATGAGACTTTAGACTTGGACTTTTGGGTTAATGCTGGAATTAATTAAGACTTTGGGGGACTGTTGGAAGGGCATGATTGTGTTTTGAAATGTGAGGACATGAGATTTGGGAAGGGCCAGGGGTAGAATTATATGGTTTGGCTCTGTGTCCCTGCCCCAATCTCACCTTAAATTTTAATAATCCCCACATGTCAAGGGCAGGACCAGGTGGAGGTAACTGGATCATGGGAGCAGTTTCCCTTATGCTTGTCTTGTGATAATGAGTGAGTTTCACAGGATTTGATGGTTTTATAATCATCTGGCATTTCCCCTGCTTGCATTCACTCCATCCTGCCATCCTGTGAAGAAGGTGCCTGCCTCTCCTTTGCCTTCTGCCATGATTGTATGTTTCCTGAAGCTACCCCAGCCATGTGGAACTGTGAGTCAATTAAACCTCTTTCCTTTATAAATTACCCAGTCATGGCTATTTCTTATTAGCAGTGCGAGAATGGACTAATACATAGTGTGTGATAGGAGTTGAATTTCATTCTTCTGCATGTGTACATCCAGTTTTCTCAGCAACATTTATTGAATAAACTCTGTTTCCCCACTGTATCTTTTTGGCACCTTTGTAAAAAAATCAATTGACCATAAATGTGTGGATTTATTTCTGGGCTCTCTATTCTGTTCCATTGGTCTATGTGTCTGTTTTTATGGAAGTACCATATTGTTTGGTCACTATAGCTTTGTGGTATATACCGATATCAGATAGTGTGAGACTCTAGCTTTGTTCTTTTTGCCAACATTACTGATTTGGCTATTAAAGGTCTTCATACAAATTTTAAGTTTTTTTTCTGTTTCTATGAAAAATGTCATTGGAATTTTGATATGGATTATATTGAATCTATAGATCACTTTAAATAGTATGAACATTTTAACAATATTAATTTTTTCAATTCATGAAAATAGGATATCCTTCCGTGTATTTGTGTCTTCTTCCATTTTTAATAGGTAAGATAAACCACAGGATAATGTATTGGGATAATTTTGTTCCTTTTTTTAAGTCAAAAAGCCTTATATGGTCAGGGATTAATGAAGTGAGAATGACAAGTGTACATTTCAGACTTTTGTCACAAATGAAGAAAAGCATTTTTATAGATGTAAAACTGTAATTAGTACATTTAGATTTTGGAGAAGAAATCAAACTGTAAAATATCTCTACAATAATACAATGTTGATAGAAATCAGTCATGTACTGGGCTAATTTTTGTGAGCTGCCATTGTTTAAATATAAGAGATCATTCTGTTTCTTCCCCATATTGCCTTGAAGTTCAAATTTTGCCTGAGCTGTAAGAATAACCTACAACTCTCTCTCCTGGGGTCCCTTTTTGTCTTTAAAAAGTAAGCATTTGTTTCATAAATTACCGCTAAATTTCACACCCCCCAACACACACCAACAAGATGGCACAAGGAAGCCATTCTGTTGTTGTTTATTTAAAAAACAGTATTATTTATCATAAAAAGCACAGTGCTCAGAAGACAAATGATTACTAATCATGTGATAAACTTATGAACAGTAACTCTTTGTGTGTATTTTATAATACTCAAAGCTATTCCAGATATGTTATAGCTTCCTCACAACTTTGAAGTGGACCTGATTATCATTGCCATGTAATAGAAAAAAAGATTGAGGTTAAGCAGAAATGAGTGACCTGGACAAGATCTCACAGAGAGTAAGGGGAACTGAAGAGTCTTAATTCATTTTCCTTCCATTTGTCTCTTCACCTTGATGATTAGTGGGCTTCTGTGTCATTCTCAAGAATTAAGCTTCACCTTTTGACCAAGTTCTGATTACAAAGCTTTAACCCTTGTTCTTGCACCAAGTCCTTACCTTAAAAATCTTCCTGGATTCCAGACTCTTTAGGACCGGTAGTTGCCCTCCAGGGACTGGAGTCCAGTGCCTTGATTGCCCCTTCAGTGGCTGAGTCCCCTGCCCACAGCTCCCTGATCCACTCTGCTTTCAAATTCCTGGAAGTCACTCTAACTCCTCAGGACATGTTGGTATGATATCTCAGACTCATCCCCTCGCTCCTTATCCTCTTCATCAACGAGTACCAATTGCTTGTTTCATCTATAATGTGTTATTCCAGAACCTAGAGAAACTGTGCTCTTTTTTTTTTTTTTTGCCTGACTAGACAGCCTTGAGTACCTGAAATGATAGGCATCCCTCAACCTGCCCCAAATGAGAACTGCCCCTCCCAAGTCACTTCATTTTCTGAAGCTAACTAAGCCTTGCCCAGTCTTGTGTGAAAATATTGCAATGGTGGCATTAAATCTTCCCTCTTAAAATTCCAGCTCTGAAACAAGGTCTACTCCAAGCCACTTCAAAAAAAGTGAGTCACATTCATTTTCAACAACAAAGAACAAAGATGCTTACTGCGATAGTACAATCCCTTAGGATTTTGAAGAACTCTTTTCATAACATTATTTCTCTCAAAGAAAGTTAAAATTTGCCTGATAATAACGTGGTAGGTGCTGCAGGATCCTACAAATATCAGTGAACAACCTTTAATAAGACATAAAAATTCTCAATATGCATTGATACTAGTTTCTCATAAGAACAGATATTTCACAAGAAAAAGGGCAAATCCACCAGCTAGTCTTTAGATTAGAAGCAGGCACTAGAAATGTTCAGCAGCTGCACAAAGAGATATCAAAGCTAGCACTTTGTCTTTTGATGAAGCATTGCCCTTTTCCCCAAGTAATATCTAATCTATTAATAAATGCTGTACCCAAAAATAGTAACACCAATGCTCGTGTGCTCATTGTCAGGGGCCTGGAATACATGGCAGATATTGGCTAATCATTATAGAGCTTCTTTCTCTATATTATGAATAAGAAAAAGGCTACTAGCCAAGAGACTGTTATTGAGATGCCCTTTCAGGTGTGCTAAATAAAACAAGTTCTTACTCCAAAGCCACCTTCTCTAATGAACTGATATTAGCACAATTGAGAAATGGCATGGGTCAGGAAAAAATGAGGAATCTGAAAACTATAATTGGAACCTAATTTTTTTTGCCTTCAGTATTATTGCTATGAATGTGTCTGGAAAATATCTCAGCCTCTGTTTCTCATCTGTAAAGTGGGTCTCTCCATACTGCTTAATTTATTACTGTGAGGATGAAATGAATAAAAGTGTATATAACACCTTTAAAAAGGTAAAGCCTTATGCACATATAAGTGATTATTGTTCTTACTGACACTCTAAGACAAGGCTTGTAAAGAAACTAAGATAAACAAGGAAGAGCTTTCCGGGAATATTATAACTAGACTCTTCTCAGAAGACACATCGGGAAACATATAATGGTTCAGATAATTTCTTATCCAAAAAAATTTCATCACAGCAAGAATCTCTGCATAGGAGAGATGGGTCATATGTTTAAAGCAATACTTGAGACCCCCAAAGCATGTCTAGTAGCACTAAAAAGTTTGAAGATCATTTTAATAAAATTTAAGTATAAGTGAAATCCATGCACTTCTATTATAATACCACTTACCAAATAAATGTAACCATATGACTAGAGGGGGAAGTAATTGCCTTTTATTTTCTGGCCATAAAAAAGAGAACGAAATTCTAATCTTTTACTTTTCTGTTTCTTTCATTTTAATCAATAAAGAAATACAGTGAGCATTCACACTGAGTGATACATTTCAGGTAAAGGCATGAAGTATAATGCACTGAACATTCAAATTATCTCATGAAGAAAACTTGAGATCTGAGCAATTCTCAGTCATCACAGATACCTCAATACAGTCACAATCGCTCATATTTGCATTATTTACCCAAAACTTTATGGACAGTTCTAGGTATTACATTAACTCAAGATTTCAGTCTGTCAATAAGAAAGTAAACAATGGGGAGTCTATTATTTCAGATACCTACTCTATGCCCGGCAAAGTGTCAATCACTGGAAAGAGAAAGGTGTGTAATAGAGTCAGGTTCCCTGACTATAGGTAATCTCCCAGACAATCAATTAATGAAGGTAATTCCCCACCAGTGCCACCATAGTTCATGCAAAAGGGAGAGAGTCTGAGAGTGCACACTGGGAGGACCCTACAGGATCCTGGGCTTTGGCAATTCCAACTGTGGTCCATGTTCCCACCTCTTCCTTAGTCCTTAAGGCTTCCTGTTTCTAAGATGGTGTGCTTTATGGTGTCTGAAAAATAGTGTCTGGAAAATAGGATATACTTTTTCCTTCCTTCCTCATGTGAAAATGTTCATGAGTGCAAGTGGAAGAGAGAAAAACAGGGGAAGACCTTTCCCTCTTACTGGAAAAAAAATGCAGAAGGAAACAGATTTTGTTCATTTGCTCATTTTTTAAAATAAGAATTATTGAACACCTAAGACATTGCAAGACTTATGCAAGTTCCTGGAGGCACAAAGATGGCAAAAGACACTTTCTGCTGGAAAACAGGTCTCAGTTCAGCGGATGAAATGAGGAGTAAGAGGAATCTGCTCCACAGCTATAGCCATGATCTGTGGGGTTTCTGTCTTACATATATGAGTATTTCATGTCATAAGACCATTTTAAAAAGAAGCCAAAAATCCTCTCAAGGAAAAATGTAAAAACAAAACGTGGACTGCAGAAAATGGTGCTTTTTTATCTTTTCTTTTTTCTCTTGCCAATTATTTCAACCAAACAGAATTTTAAATGCACATGTATTTTGTGTTTCTTTAATACATTAACTTATTCTTTGACTCCTTTGTCAAAGAGAAACACTGTTATTACTGCACAGTACTGACATATACCCACCATCTAGTGGCCAAATCTTGTCACTACAGCCTTGCTCACATAGGGGTGAGAGGAACATCTTTCTCACATCATTTTCAGGTGGTTTTTAAGGATTACGTTTAGTGAAAAAGAAGTATTCAGACAATGATGAAGAACACAAAAAAGCAGATTTTATCTATTTTTTCCAAGCCTAAATTGTGAAACATAGAAGCAATTTATATATAAAGAATGCCCTTCCTTTGAGTGCTATAGAGAACTGCGGCTCAGCCAACCACAGCTCCAGTAGGGTTGTCTGGCTTCAGGTGACATGGCAACACCTGATGAGACTGGTGGAAACATGATCACTAGACACAAGCAGGCACACTTTAAGATCCAGACTCATACATCTCCATCCCTGTACTCACTGCAGCATGATTCACAATGGCCAACATGTGGAAGCAACGTGTTATATGTTCATCGACAGACAAATGGATAAAGATAATGCGGTATGTACAAAAAATGAAATATTATAAAGTCTTAAAAAAAGAAAATCCTGTCACATGCTACAACGTGAATGGCCTGGAGAACACGCTAAATGGAATAAGCCAGACACGGAAGGACAAACACTACGCGACATGACTTATATGCTGAGTCTAAAATAGTCAAACCCATAGGAGCAGAGAGTGGAACTGCAGTTTTCAGGGGCTAAGAGAGAATGGGGAGATATTAGTCAAAGAGTACACAGTTCCAGTTATACACGATGAATAAGTCCTAGAATCTATTGCATAGCATAGTGCCTATAGGTAACACTATTGTATACTTAAAAACTTACTAAGAAGGTAGATCATACATTGTGTTCTTACTGCAATAATAATAATGATGAGTAATAAGTGACAGTGATGATTTCATGGGTGATGTGGTTTGGCTGTGTCCCCATTCAAATCTCAGGTTGTGGCTCCCATGGTTCCCACCTGTCATGAGAGGGACACAGTGGGAGGTAGTTGAATTCTGGGGCAGGTCTTTTCCGTACTGTTCTCATGACAGTGAATGGGTCTCATAAGATCTGATGGCTTTATAAAAGGGAGTTCCCTTTCACATGTCCTCTCTTGCCTGCCGCCACATAAGACCTGCCTTTCTCCTTTTTTGCCTTCTGCCATGATTGTGAGGCCTCCCCAGCCACATGGAACCGTGAGTCCATTAAACCTCTTTTTCTTTATAAATTACCCAGTCTCGAGTATGTCTTTATTAGCAGCATGAGAATGGACTAATACAATGGGTGTACACTTATCTCCAAATGGATGGAGTTGTATACATAAAACGTGCACAGCTTTTTGTACATCAAGAGAGACCTTCCCTGACAACTCTAACTCTATAACTCTCTTTCCCCAGCTTATTTTATTCTTGACACTTGTTACTATCTGAAGTTGTACTGTAACTTACAGGTTCAAAAACAGAGTCTCCAAATCTACAGTTCAAATTCCATAAAGGAAGGGATTTTAACTGTGTTTCTTCCTGTTACCTTGAGTTGTGTTATCACAGAGAAGGTACTCACCAAACAGTTGAGGGAGAGCAAATGAACCTAGTGAGTACCTAGAAAGGGTCTGAGCAAAGGTGTAGTTGGGCAGGCTGAAGTCCATACAGAATCACATGGTGGCCTTAAAACAGGTCTTAGAATGTAGTTATACATGGTGCTAGAGTGAGCGTGGAGGAGCTAAGTGTAGTAACAGCTACACCCTTCACTAGATATGTGGCAGTTCTCCAGTTCTCTCTCTCTCTCTCTCTCTCTCTCTGTGTGTGTGTGTGTTTGTGTGTGTGTGTCTTTAAAGAGGGGAGGTAGTCATCTTTTTACAATAATTTCTTCTCAGTTCTGCTGGAGGACCTTTGCAAGTTGTAGATTCTAGTGCAACTAAATATTTTACTAACACAAACTCAGTGTGCTTGAAAACCCTTAAGCTATGAGGAGGCTAGGAAGATGCACCACAGAGAAGCAGGGAGCCAAGGGCAAGTGGGCTGCAGCTGGCCTGGGGAAACCTCATACCACCTGAACTGTCAGGAAAACAAATGCGATGGAAACACACACTTCCATTTAAAAATTCAGGGCCGGACGCGGTGCCTCATGCCTGTAATCCCAGCACTTTGGGAGGCTGAGAACAGGTGGATCACGAGGTCAGGAGATTGAGACCATCCTGGCTAACAGAGTGAAATTCTGTCTCTACTAAAAATACAAAAATTAGCTGGGCATAGTGGCAGGCACCTGTAATCCCAGCTACTCGGGAGGCTGAGGCAGGAGAATCACTTGAACCCGGGAGGTGGAAGTTGCAATGAGCCAAGATCGCGCCATTGCGCTCCAGCCTGGGTGACAGAGAGAGACTCCGTCTCAAATTAAAAAATGAAAAAATGAAAAAAAATTCAGTGGCGAAACAGAGCTCTGCCTTGAGGTGTTGAAACAGTGACAAGGGAAATGTTCGTTGGTCCCCCATTTGTTTTCTTTTTAAAGTGTTCGCCAATACTGGAATAGCTCCAGTCACGTTAGACTGCCATGCCACCGTGGCCTTGAGATTCCTTTTCTGTGCTGAATTCCATCTAATCTCAATCACATTGTTTTCTACCTTACCCAGTAATGGCACAATTAGGAGTGTCTAACAGTGAGTAGGCAACGATTCAGAATGGCTAAGTTGCAGGTCTTATAGCTCAAGAGTGAGCCCATCTGGAAAACATGGAATGGGAGCTCTTGGTGTCCTCATTTACAGGCACATGGTCAGGCTGTCAGGCTATGTTTGTAGTTCTAGAACTCCCTTTTAGTCAGATCCTCTTGAATGTACAGATGTTTGCAGTGACTAAACATAGTCACATGTACTTCCTGGTTAAAGCCTTCCCATAAAATGGTCCATAAATGAACACTGCTATGCCAAGAAAAATGAAAGCACTTAGAAGAATATTTAGCACTTCTAATGCAAAGCATTTTGTAATCCTCTATTTGCCAAACCTCTCTGGAGAGGAGGTCAGTAATTTTCTCATTATCTTACTAAGGAAAGAAGTCAGCTGTTGTTCCCAAAGTAACACATGGTCAATCAATATCTGGAATTAGAATGCAAAGAATTCTTATTCCAGGGACCATGCTGAGCCAACAACAAATTTGGGTGTAAGAGTACTGTGAGTTCTGGAGGCAACCAATATGATGAAATCATTCTCTGATGACAGGATATGCATATGTATAAAGTTGAGAAAAAATAGGAATTCTCAATTACATTTAAAGCCAGACATTTGTTCATTTGCGCTTTGTTAAGTTTCAATAATGCATGAGTTGAAGGAAGGAAAAGGAAATATGTAGAGGGAAAAGGAGAAAGAGATTGGGTAATATGGTAGAGAAATTGCAAAGTAAAAATAGATTCTGAGCATATATGAAATTAGTTTAGTCATGTTTTTAGTTTAACAGCTTACTACCTGTCTCTGAAGAAAGTAAAGGTTTTAGAATATTTCATATAAAAAATCTTAATGGACTATGACTATAAATCTCATGTCATAAATTCAGTCTCCAAATGGAATATATCAAATAAATAAAAATATGCTCTTTTGGGCCAGGCGTAGTGGCTCATGCCTGTAATACCAGCACTTTGGGAGGCTGAGGTGGGCAGATCACAAGGTCAGGAGTTCGAGACCAGTCTGGTCAACATAGTGAAGCCTCGTCTCTACGAAAAATACAAAAAATTAGCCGGGTGTGGTGGTGCATGTTTGTAATCCCGGCTACTTGGGAGGCTGAAGCAGGAGAATCGCATGAACCCAGGAGGCGGAGGGTGCAGTGAGCCAAGATGGCACCATTGCACTGCAGCCCAGGCGACAGTGCGAGACTCCGTCTCAGGAAAAAAATATATATATTTCATATATATACACATATATATATATATACTATTTTGTTACTTTCAGAATAGCAAGATTGTCAAGATATTATTTTAACACAATGCAGAAAGATACAGAAAATGATTTGTATTTGCCATTTAGGTTAAGAAAAACGTATAGCCTCTCCCCTACTCAACACATGCACCTTAAGAAACAACTTTAAAGTTATCCTGACCACATCACCACATTGTTACTGATGTTACCCTTGAATGAATTTTTATCCTTTCCTTACCTGTGTCTTATGAGTCTTATAAATTTTTATTGTAATTTCACCGGACTAAAATCTAGTAAAATTTTCTTTTTCATGAAACCTTAATTGTTCATGGGCATTTTAATGTAAAGTCAATTAAATGCAAAACAAGACAAAATCCAAAAGATACTATTCCAAAAAATAACTATATTATTTTCCTTTAAGATGTTAGTTTTTTAATCAATCTCTAATAGTTTCAGAAGGTAAGATGAAATGTTGTTTCCTGTGAATCCACTAAAAACTACTTACATTATTCTTAAACAAATTAACATCACCTAGTTTATTATTTTTAAAAGATTAATATTCTTTTTAGAATTGTCCCAGTTGATTTTTTGAACACACCACACACACACACACACAAACACACAATTAGATAGATAGATAGATAGATAGATAGATAGATAGATAGATAGATAGATAGATGTTTTAATATATTTAGGGAGTGGATAGGCTATATTCCATTTAATATTTCTTGACACACAATAATTTGCCTGAATTTAAAGTGGTAAGTGGTATTTCTACAGTACCCTGGTTGTCCTATGTGCAATTAATTTAGACCATCACCATCACCAATTCTCTATTTTGGAGGCATCACACTACCTGACTTCAAACTATACTACAACACTACAGTAACCAAAACAGCATGGTACTGGTACCAAAACAGAGATATAGACCAATGGAACAGAACAGAGCCCTCACAGATAATACCACACATCTACAACCATCTGATCTTTGACAAACCTGACAAAAACAAGAAATGGGGAAAGGATTCCCTATTTAATAAATGGTGCTGGGAAAACTGGCTAGCCCTACGTAGAAAGCTGAAACTGGATCCCTTCCTTATACCTTATACAAAAATTAATTCAAGATGGATTAAAGACTTACATGTTAGACCTAAAACCATAAAAACCCTAGAAGAAAACCTAGGCAATATCACTCACGACATGGGCATGGGCAAGGACTTCATGTCTAAAACACCAAAAGTAATGGCAACAAAAGCCAGAATTGACAAATGGGATCTAATTAAACTAAAGAGCTTCTGCACAGCAAAAGAAACTACCATCAGAGTGAACAGGCAACCTACAGAATGGGAGAAAATTTTTGCAATCTACTCATCTGGCAAAGGGCTAATATCCAGAATCTACAAACAACTTAAACAAATTTACAAGAAAAAAATCAAACAAACCCATCAAAAAGTGGGCAAAGGATATGAACAGACACTTTTCAAAAGAAGACATTCATGCAGCCAACAGACACATGAAAAAATGCTCATTATCACTGGCCATCGGAGAAATGCAAATCAAAACCACAATGAGATACCATCTCATGCCAGTTAGAATGGTAATCATTAAAAAGTCAGGAAACAACAGGTGCTGGAGAGGATGTGGAGAAATAGGACTGCTTTTACACTGTTGGTGGGAATATAAACTGGTTCAACCATTGTGGAAGATGGTGTGGCGATTCCTTAAGGATCTAGAACTAGAAATACCATTTGACCCAGCAATCCTATTACTGGGTATATACCCAAAGGATTAGAAATCATGTTACTATAAAGACACATGCACACGTATGTTTATTGCAGCACTATTCACAATAGCAAAGACTTGGAACCAACCCAAATGTCCATCAGTGATAGAATGGATTAAGAAAACGTGGCACATATACACCATGGAATACTATGCAGCCATAAAAAAGGATGAGTTCATATCCTTTGTAGGGACATGGATGAAGCTGGAAACCATCATTCTGAGGAAACTATTGCAAGGACAGAAAACCAACCACCACATGTTCTCACTCATAGGTGGGAACTGAACAATGAGAACACTTGGACACAGGGTGGGGAACATCACACACCAGGGCCTGTCATGGGTTGGGAGGATGGGGGAGGGATAGCATTAGGAGAAATATCTAATGTAAATGACGAGTTAATGGGTGCAGCAAACCAACATGGCACATGTATACATATGTAACAAACCTGCATGTTGTGCATATGTACCCTAGAACTTAAAGTATAATTTAAAAAAAAAAATATATATATATATATACACATATTGGTTAATGGAAACTATTTCAGTCTTAATTGTAGTGAGTCTCACATCCAAGAATAATCTGTGAGTGACAAAAAAAACAGCATCAACAGCATCTCCAAGATTTGCTCTCAGCTTGCCTGAAGATGCTGGTTTTCTGCACATTGATCAGAGTGCCATTTCTCCAGATTCCAGAATACTCAGCTGACACGATCAGATGTGCAAATACTGCCTCTGCAGTTGCTTCCATCATTTCAATGAATCTAGAGATTGACTCTGAGCTTTCAGCGTCAAACACAGGCAATCCAAAGATGGCTGAGGAATTCTTTTGCAAGATTTATATTTTGCAAATATAGGCCAATCAATCACTCTTTTTGTAAATACACCCACAAGGTGACTAGATATTCTCTGCCAATTTTCTTCTTTCATTCAATGTGGCCTCAGAAGTTGTTTGATGACAGGGAAACTGCTATGGGAAATCCTAGGCCTGTCCCTGGATGTCAAGGATGGGTTACAAACACATGCATCACAGGCCCTACTGCTTTAAAACATCGATGAAAATAAATTGTCCGTCTTCAGTTACTCATTTGCTTTAAATTTACCTAGTGTTAAATCCTCAAAATACAGAAAGATCAGGCAGTTCACAATTTCCTCTCCAAAGCGAATATACCAAATTAATCGAAGCATCTATTCCTTTATGCTGACTTAAAGCAGCAGGATTTGCAAGATGTTACTTGAAGAATACACAAGAGGTAAATGAAAAATCTATTTTTATTTACTACTTTGTTTCAGATTACATACAGGGAGTTAAGCAGGTTCTTTGGGGCTGAGCAAAAATTTATCACAGTAGTTTACCTTACGAGGTCCCTGCCTAGACCACAGGCTAACTCACCTTCTCTGGTCCCCCATTAATATAACAAAGCAGGCCTCTCACAGCCCTATTTTACTACATCCCCTAATGTCCCTCACTTCTGGCCATTGATTCAAACTGCTCAATTTCTCTCTCCTGAGATTTGTACTTTGGCCAATGAGGCAGCCATCCACAAGTGCATGGAACTACAACATAGGAATGTGTTAGCTGTGAGCTGTGATTTCCTGAAGCCCAGCTTCATTCCTGTCCTTAATTTCCATGCAATATTCCTACTTTCTTACAATAACTCTCCCTTTTGTTTTTCTTAATCTAGCCTAAGTTGACTTCTGATACCCTCACCTAGTACAAAGGAGGCCAATGGAGATATATATATATATATATATATATATATATATATATATATATATATATATATATATATAGTTTTTTTTGAATGTGTATGCAGCATGGAATTAACCTAGGCACCTTTCACTAAGGCACAACATTTGGGGATTGCAGATTCTTCCTATACCCTACCCACAAATTCTTTTCACTTTCAGGTTATCCTTAGTTTTCATTTTATTTTACAGAGAATAAAATTGAGAATCACAGATTCTCAATACTTTGCAGAGCACAGAATAGATTGACCTGTCTAGACTTCAGAAAGAAGTAAGTAAACACAATGATTTCTATTACCTGATGAACCTGCTTCATTTTTATGCTTTCTCCTCCTGTGATTATCATTTTTGTCTGTCCTTAAGTGCTCACTAAAATTCCCACATTGTACATTCATTTTGAAGAGAAAGCTTGTTAAAATATACACCATTATTTTTCTTTAAGTCTAAACAAGTGAAATGACCTTCACAATAGGAAACTGGGAAAACCTGTTCTTTCCTTTTAAACATCTCTGCACATCTGTACCACGCTGGCACTCAGTAAATATTAAAGATCTGTCACAGGTATTGTATTATGATAATTCTCATTAATACAGAAAAAAAAAAGAAAAATCTGACAGCCCAATTGAGAGAGGCAATAGTGAGACTGGCAGAACTAGCCCAAGGGCCTTCCCTTGGGCTAGGGACCTTCCATGTCTGGAGTCTCCTGACAACTAGGCCAGTATCTTCATGCTGCCCTCAGGGAACCCCACTCAGTTTCACTGATCAGATATTATCAACTAAGCTTCCAAAAAGTCTTCTTTCTCTCACCATGCCCCCAGTAATTTTACAGTTTCTCAGACCTAATTTTATTTGTATTGTTATCCCCTGCCTTATTTCACCAATGATTGAAGGAGTTTATGAGAGTACATTTTTTAAATAGAAAAAAATTTAAAAATTGATTAATAATCATATCCAAGAAAATGAATTTAATTGCAAGAGAGACATCCCTATTGCAATGTCTCAGAAATTAAGGAGAAGGATAGCAGTTTGTTCAAAATATCTAATCAGGTCCTTAAATGTGGCTACACTAACCCTCAAATAAAAGAAAAAAATGTTTGTCTCCTTTAAGCTCTGTATTATTTAGGCCTTTGTTATTTAAAACTTAACTTAGCTCTCCCAGACTCAAAGGCTGGTCTCCCTTAAGATCTATCCTCCATTCCCCTAGATTTCTCCAAATCTGATCTAGCCCATCGAATAGAATGTCTGGAAACTTCTACCAGGAGAGTCTAGGATTAACTTTCACATAGTCCAGTGGATGTGGTCTGGTAACTTGAGTGCAAATTAAGGTCCTGATGCTCAGTTCATCTGATGTCAAATGGATAAGTGTTGAAACACACACACACACACACACACAAATTCATAGCCCTCACCTCAAAATCAGAATTCAGTCTAAATCAAAATCAATAAATGTTTATTGAATAACTTTTATGTGACAACCACTATCTAAATACATCTTAGGCATTTTCTCATTATTATTTACATGTATCTTTGAGATAAGTACTATTTTTTGTCACTTTCTATAGGTAGTTTACCTTCTCAAGGTCATCTTATTGTTGAAGCTGGCTGCTAGAATCCTTGACATTTCATCTGTATTCTAATAGGAAGAAGACAACCACAAAGAAAAGTGTGGCTGCTGTTTTTAGAAACATTTCTTAGAAGTTGCACACACAATTTCAGCTTACATCTCATCATCTAGGATTTAGTCACATGTGTACACCTGCAGCAAGGAAGTCTGGAAAATGGGGTCTTTATTATAGATAGACATTTACCTAGCTAAAAATCAAGGGTCTGGGGCTAAGGAAAAGGAGGAAACAAATTATAGACAACTAGCTGTCTTTGCCATGGGAGGAGTTTCCCAAATTGATCTCGAGGAGGACATGATGCTGAGAAGCAGTTAACATCTGGATGATTCACAGGGATAAGGAGATCAATTCTTCCTTGGATTCCATGTACTATAGGATAATGAACCTAGAAATGAATAAGGGGAGTTTAATACTTCACTTATATATACATAGAAGGTCAAAGCTTATGGGAAAGTGAAAACAGAGAAAAGTCCTTATTGCTACTAAACTAATCATTTACACATTTCACTTTTCCTATAAAGAGGCAAAACAGTGTATCTAAGGGAAGCAAGTGTTTCCAGACACTGATTCTTGAAACATCTGAACAAATTTCTTGGTGGGACTTTACATAGGAGATATAAGTCGTGTGGCATGAAGTCCTTGTTACCTTAAACAGTTTATTCAGTAGAAAGAAATTATCTTAATTCCATTCAGCTAAGATGTAACTGAAAGGTAACCAGTCTTAGTGTATTAAAATCCCCCAAGATATGTATCCTCTAAAAAGATAAACCTAAAATTATATCTAGTAGTAGGATATTTTACATATATGATGGGGCTAAAGAGAATTCTGGTTGCCCTTCAAATTATATCTCCTGAAGGTGAAAGACCTCTACATGGAGAACTCCAGAACACTGATGAAAGAAGTCACAGATGACACGAACAAATGGAGAACCATATGCAGAAGAGTAATACTGGACCCCTTTGTCTCACCATATACACAAATTAACTCAAGATGGATTAAAGACATAAATGTAAGACCTGAATCTATAAAAAATCTTAGAAGAAAACCAAAGAAAAATTTTCTGTGCATTGGTCTAGGCAAAGAACTTGTTACTAAGTCCTTAAAAGGAAACATAACAAAAATGAAAATAGACAAATGTAACTTAAACTAAAAGCCTTCTGAACAGCAAAAGAAATAATCAACAGATTAAACAGATAACCTACAGAATGGAAAAAATGCAAACAGTTTATCAATCAAAGGGCTGATATTCATAATCTATAAGAAATTCAAATAACTCAACAAGCAAAAACAAATAACCCTATTAAAAAGTGAGGAAAGGATATGAACAGAACTTTTTTAAGGAAGATATATAAGCAGCCAACAAATGTGAAAAAAATGCTCAACATCACCAGTCATCAAAGAAATGCAAACTAAAACTGCAGTGAGATATGATCTCACACCAGTCAGAATGGTTGTTAGTAAAAAGTCAAAAAACAACAGATGTTGGAGTGGATATGGAGAAAAGAGAACACGTCTACACTGTTGGTGGGAATGAAAATAAGTTCAATCTCTTTGGAAAGCAGTTTGGAGATTTCTCAAACAGCTAAAAATAGAATTACTATTTAATCCAGCAATCCCACTGCTGGGTATCTACCCAAAGGAAAATAAATTATTCTATCAAAAAGACACTTGCAGTCATACGTTTACCAAAGCACTGTTCACAATGGCAAAGTCTGGAATCAACCTAAGTGTCCACCAACAAATGATTGGATTTAAAATGTGGTATATAGATGCCATGGAATATTACTTGGCCATAAAAAAGAATGAAATTATGTCTTCTGCAGCAACGTGGATGGAACTAGAGGCCGCTAGCCTAATGACTCAGAAGAAGAAAGTCAGAAGCCACACGTTCTCACTTATAAGTGGGTGCTAAATAATGGGTACACATGGACATACAAATTAGAATAATAATCATTAGAGACTCCAATAGGTGGACAGGTGGGAGGGGAGTGAGAGATGAAATACTACCTATTTGGTACAATGTACACTATTTGGGTGATGGGTATGCTAAAGGCCCAGACTTCACAACTACACAATTTATCCATGCAACACAACTTCACCTGTACCTCTAAATCTATACAAATAAAAAATAATAATAAAACAAATTTTACTACCCTGAGATGCATATTAAGTTATTAAAGTGGCTGTGATTGATAGATTCAGAATAGGGAATTCTGTCTCATCTTCTTAATAAATACCTCTTATATAACTGTTTTTCCTTTTGTATTACAGTGTAAGGTAGTAACCCAAGTGCTTTATACATGAACCTAACTAGGGTGGGTCTGCTGATGAGTATCATGGATAAAGGCGGATGGGATCACCATGAGCTAGTAGGAAAAGAAGTGTGCATTTGTGTATATATGTGTTCCTTATAATGAGTAAAGAGCAAAATACTTAGCTGCATTGTTTGCATGCATGTGTGCACATGCATGTGTTTATGACCACACATTTGGAACATGTACAGATCGAATGGGTAGCCATTTGATATGGTTTGGCTATGTCCCCACCCAAATCTCATCGTGAATTGTAGCTCCCATAATTCTCATATATTGTGGGAGGGACTCGATGGGAGATAATTGAATCATGGGAGCAGTTTCCCCCATACTGTTCTCATAGTAATGAATAAGTCTCATGAGATCTGATGGTTTTATAAGAGGAAACCCTTTTCGCTTAGTTCTCATTCTCTCTCTTTCCTTGCAGCCATCATGTAAGATGTGACTTGCTCCTCCTTGCTTTCTGCCATGATTGTGAGGTCTCCCCAGCCATGAGGAACTGTGAGTCCATTAAATCTCTTTCCTTTATAAATTACTCAGTCTCAGGTATGTCTTTATTAGCAGTGTGAGAACAGAATACACCATTTATGTGCTATAATTTGAAAGACCCTTCTTGGTTGCTATAAAAATACCTCCCTATTCCATTTAGCTTCAGGTTTTATCATTAGAGTCAGAAAGTTTGAACAAGAAAGCAAGAACAGTCTTTCCAAAGGTCCATGAAAAAGCATGCTATTCTGAAGCCACCCTTAGCTCTTGCTGGTAGGTGATAAAATTATCAGATTAATTAATAGACACCGGAAAGAAAGGCCAGACTGCTAGAAGGGATTGTAATAAAGGAGGTGGCTTCAGATTTAAACACTGCCTCTTCAAGATCTATTTTGAACCCATTCAATAAGATAAAACATGACAGAAGGCAAAAAGAAGGAACACTTCCCAATGTCAAGAAGGAACTCTTCATCCCTGGCACTCCCTTATCTGAAAAGCAGACCCTGCCATACCTCTGCAAAATCCCAAGCTTTCCAGGAGCAGAGTTTGAACACTGATGCTCTAGTTCAACCCTCTCACTTCACAGATGAATAACTGACTTTCTGATTGTACAGGTCAGAAGATAAGTTAGTAGAAACTTCAGGAATAGAATCATGGTCCTTTTATTCTCAATCTAAAGCTTTTTCCATTGTATCTTTGAGTCCTGAGAACACAAGAGTCCAGATTAACAGAGCATGGAAGTGTAAGTATTCTACAATCTCTTGCTCCATTTTGCACTAGGTAGCATAGCCAACTTTTCGGAGGCAGGATTGCATCGTGCTTAAACAGGGGAGCAGGGGCTCTGAACCTCAAGTGTCTAGGTTCAAATCTAGATACCCTACCTAATAGCTGTGTGATATTGGGCAAGTTAATTAAACTCTGTGACTCTCAGTTTTCCCATTTGCAAATGGGAACAGTAGTAGTACCTACTTGATAGAATTACTGGGAGGATAATATTATGAATCTATGCAAAGCACTCAGAGCAATGAACTGGCATAGTAAATACCATCTGATATGGTTTGGCTGTGTCCCCACCCAAATTTTCATCTTGAATTGTAATCCCCATAATCCCCATGTGTCAAGGGCAGGACCAAGGGTGGAGGTAATTGGTTCATGGGGGCGGTTTCCCCCATGCTGTTCTCCTGATGGTGAGTCAGCCTCATGAGATCTGATCGTTTTATAAGTGTCTGGCATTTCCCCTGCTTGCACTCCTCTGTCCCGCTGACCTGTGAAGATGGTGTCTGCTTCTCCTTTGACTTCCGCCATGACTGTAAGTTTCCTGAGGCCTCCCTAGCAATTCAGAACTGTGAGTCAGTTAAACCTCTTTCCTTTATAAATTACCCAGTCTCTGGTATTTACTCATAGCAGTGTGAGAACACACTAATGCTATCTAAGCATTTACTACTGATGTTGTCTTTAATCAGAGATAGAAGAAAAAAGTATCATGGATATCTGAACTTTAAAAATATTGAAATCAATATTCCAGTTTCCCTGACCAGCAATGTTTGTATGCTGAATACTGAGTTCTAACTTTTAGAGAATAAACACTTTAAGTCTCTGGTCATGACTTTTTTCATTTTTTACTGTTAATTGAATCAGTTCCCTTTCTTTCTTTCTTTCTTTCTTCTTTCTTCTTTCTTCTTTTTTTCTTTTGGCTGACAAAAATTATATATGATTATGGGGTACAACATGATGTTTCAATATACGAATTCATTGTGAAATGGCTAAGTCAAGATAATTAACATATCTGTTACCTCACATACTTATTTTTTTGTGACAGAGGCATTTAAGGTCTACTCTCAGTGATTTTCAACTATATAACACATTGTTACTAACTATAATCACCATGTTTTACAATAGATCTCCTGAGTTTATTACTCCTATCTAACTGAATTTTGTATTCACAAATTTTTGTATCCTTTAACCCACATCTCCCCAATCTCCACCCCATCATCAGCCCCTGGTAACCACAATTCTACTCTTTGCTTCCATGAATCCGACTTTTCTAGATTCTACATTTAAGTGAGATCATGCAATATTTGTCTTTCTGTTCCTAGCTTATTTCAATGAGCATAATGCCTTCCAGGTTAATTCATGTATTGCAAGTGACAAAATTTCTTTTTCTAAGGCTAAATAGTATTCCATTGTGTGTATATGCCACATTTTCTTTATTCATCCACTGATGGACACTTAGGTTGATTTCATATCTTGGTTATTGTGAATGAAGCAATGAACATGGGTGTGCAAGTTACCTGTTTGACATACTAATTTCATTTTCTTGGGATATGGAATTGCTGGATCATATGGTAGTTCTATTTTTAATTTTCTAAGGAACCTCCATAGTGTTTTTTCATAATGACTGTATTGATTTACATTCTTAACAACAGCCATGACTTGCATTTCCAAGTCATAGGGTCAGAGATAAATGAGTAACAAAATATATAAGGAAATATTCCTTGTATACCAATATCTTGCCAAATCTAGTCTGTATTTCAACTAGATAAGTGGATCTGTATCAGTCAAAAATCTCAGAAAAGTCTGTAAAATTTTAGGGTTTTCTGCAGTCTTTTAAACTAAGATTAACATGCCCATCTGTCGCAAAGCAGATGCTTTTTCTTCTATTTTGTTATTTTAAAACAATGAAAACAATATTAGTGGCAATGACAGACTTTGTGATAGGTTCCAAGTACCTCAATGACAAAAAACTTTCCACATTAAAAATGATGGAAGTGTAGGTCACTGTGCAAGGCGGGGAGAGAGCACCCCGGAGGGAGTTTATTTTCTTCAATGTTAAAGTGGCAGATGTTGACAGAGAGTGAGTCCAGCCAAAGTTGCAAGTCAGAAGGGAATTTTCCTAAGGGAGGAACAGTGGGTGAGGAATGCATCAAAGAGTGAGTGGTCTAATGTTGTCAAAAGTGGACAACATTAGAATGAGGGGCAAGGCTCACATTCCTGGACGTTGATACACTCTTTCTATATCTGGATGGTTCAATGGATCATGGGGTTATATTCCAAAATCTACTGCAGTGTGCATTTTAGCTTTTATCAAACTCATTAAAGCAGCAAAAGTGAGATGAATGTCATGAAATCTTATGGAGATTCTAAATGCTTTTTTAAAAATATGCATATTCTTATAAGACACTTTAAAAAAAAATCTCCTGTCTCAATTCAAAACTAAAACAGAGTTCTTAAAAATAATGTTTTAGGTAACAAAACAGCCTAAACTTCAGGGCACAGATTATTTCAGCCTCTAAAACCCCCAAGTTTGCAGAATCAATAACATGAGATTAAAGTTCTGTGGCTATCTTAAAATTTTCCCCCAGGAAATTGAAAGGCATTTCCCAAGCTTCCAACCACAAGCTTCTCACCATGATCACTGGGCATGGTTGTTCCCCTTCAGGGTTATTATAGATACATAAGTAGAGGATAGGATAAGATTCAAATGATATTTCAATAGTGCTTAAACTGATATATTTAATGTTTCACTCTTTCATTCATCTATTAAAATAAATAGTTATGTCAGATATTATACTGCATCTTTGTGAATTACATACATCCATCTAATTATTAATTAATTCGATAAATTTGTTGAATTGCCATTTTGTACCAGGCATTCTTTTAGATGCAGTAATATAGCCAAACGAACTAGAAGGTATGACCCTTGTTCTTACAAAGTGCACATTATAATGAAGAGATGGAAAGCAAAGATATATGCAACATTTCATATAATAAATATTATAAAGAAAAGGCAATATGATAGAAACAACTTATGACAGGGTGGTCAGGGAAGACTTCTCTGAGGCGGTAACCTTTGTCATAAGACCTAAATGGTAAGAACGACTTAGTCATGCAAAGATCCAGGAAAAGAGCAGCCTGGACATGGAAAGACCATAAACTTGGGAGGTTAGAGGCTCAAAAAGCAGCCCAGGTTGGCTGGATTTTAGTAAAATGGGTAGTGGAAGAAAGCAAGGGTGTGGGGTAGGCTGAGGTCAGACAATCCTAGGATCCAGAGGATCTAAGTAATTTGGAACTTATAGCATGTCACTGTCAGTTTTAAAGCAGAGGAATGACTTGATATAATTTATGATTTAAAAATATTACTGTTACAGCTATATGGAGAATGAATTATAAGCAGTGAGGCATCAGTAAATGTTTAACGATTAGCTATCTAGTAAAACATGTATTAAAAAGCCCCAATTTGTAGCATTTCCCAATGCATGTCGTCTAAATACTCTTTCCATGGCCAATTTCAAGCTAGAAACTTGTCACTGAACGTGGAGCTGGAAAGGGATGGACACAATTGGCTCTTGAGAGTCTGCATAAGACAGCCCCCAGGCCATCCCACTGAATGCAGGAAAGCAGGGGTGGAAGCAGAAACACCAGTACTGAGATTTCAGCAGCTGCCCAGCCAAGAGAGGTGGCAGCTTGGTAGAATAGGCTGAGTGTTTGCAGATATAGTTGAAAGAAATAGACAGACTTGAGAGGTATGTATGAGAGAAAAATAGATAGAACTTAATGATGAATTAAATATAGTAACCAGATAGGCATCACAAATGAATTCCATGTTTCAAAAGTATAAAATTCCATTCAGTTACTTACCCTCTCTTGACTTGTCTCCATCTTTCCTATATCCTACCCAGGTTCTTTTTTTATTTAATTTTTTAAAAAACATAATTCATACCTATTTGACTCTTCTCCAACCCAGGGAAAATAAAAGAAGTTTCTTCCCCATGTTCTGCTCTCTTTGAAGTAGACATAGCCCAGTAGGGACTACTGAGAGTGAAGGTAGAAATTCTGGATTCAACATTAACTTTCTCTTTAAAATTAATGAATTTTTAATTGACAAAAATTGCATATATTTATTATGAACAACATATTGTTTTGAAAGATTTATATACTGCAGAATGGCTAAATCAAACTAAATAGCATATATTATCTCTCATACTTATTTTTATGGTGAGAACACTTAAAATCTAATTTCTTAGCAATTTTCAGAAATCCAATACATTATTATTAACTGTAGTCATCACATTATACAGCAGATATCCTGAACTTATTCCTCCTATCTAACTGAAACTTTGTATCCTTTGGCCAACATCTCCCCAGTCTTCTTCCAACCTTGCCCCTGGCAATTATCATTCTACTCTCTGCTTTGAGTTCGGCTTTATTGGATTCCACATGAAGGTGAGATCATGTGGTTTAATACTAATGTTCTTACTCCCTGTCCCTGCATCCTTGCTGTGATACACCTGGGCAGTTCAGCCCCTGAACATGTTTGTGTTGAGTGAGGGTAGTTAGTGATGATGGGTTTTGAAGAAATGGTGTTAAGAGAAGTCATGCTCTTTCCCAACCAATTCCAAAACCTAGTATTTCAACTATCAATTTGACAATGAATACTGAAGTCTCATTTACTATCCCTATTTGTATAAGAAGGTATTTGGGCCGGGCGCGGTGGCTCACACCTATAATTCCAGTACTTTGGGAGGCTGAGGCGGGCAGATCACGAGGTCAAGAGATCAAGACCATCCTGGCCAACATGATGAAACCTCATCTCTACTAAAAATACAAAAAATTAGCCGAGTGTGGTGGCAGGCGCCTGTAATCCCAGCTACATGAAAGGCTGAGGCAGGAGAATTGCTTGAACCCGGGAGGTGGAGGTTGCAGTAAGCCGAGATCGCACCACTGCATTCAAGCCTGTAGGGCTTCCTCAGTACATCAAATAATGCAATCTGAAAAAAAACAATAACTCTTTCTCGGAGTTGCTATCTGTTATTCAGAGGAATGCAATGTATTTTAGTTTCTCTCGATTAATTTCGCCTTTTTCATTTACTATCCAAACGGACAAAATGATGTGTCCCTGGCTACTCAGAAAGAGTTGACCTATGCTTATAAAGGCTTTAAAGTCTTCAGTAGACTATGTAGTGACCCAATAAGATTTTTAGAAATAAAAACAATGTTTTATAAATAGTATAATCAATTTATTTTTATTCCATACCTTTTTTGTTTCAGAACTACTGTTAGTAAAGAAAGATAAGAAAGGTTATTTGCTAAGCTATTTAGAAATATAAAAAAAAGGTTAATCCCAGAAACTAACATCAAAGAGCTTTTTGACTAGTTAGAAATAATTCATTCATATTCATTCATTCATTCATTCATTCATTCATTCATTCATCCATTTCCTCATTCAAGTAACAAAACTCTCCACACTTTTCTGATGTCAGGAATCATAATATGTGTTCAAGATGCAAGCTTAAGTAATAAATAAATATGTGGCATAAATTGTCTATGAAAGGGTACACAGTCGGAGAATAAATTTATGAAAGACAGGCAGCATCATTATAGTGAAGAGCCATAATTCCATTATATTTGTATCTGACATTTTTCTCTCCTTACATCGTTGCTCCAGGTGAACCTCCAAAAAGGAGCAACATAGAGAACAAAGTTAACAAATGTGCAAGAAGCTTTAATCCAGTATGTTTCTGCCAGAGAAAATATGTATCATGTATAATGGATTTGCTATGCTGTACAGAATTTGGTTGACTTAGCAAAAGGATGAAAATAGCAATTGTCACATCTTCACTCCCCCCTCTACTTTTTACCTTTCTTGAATAAATGAAGCTATTTGTTTATGGTCACCTGCTAGAATTTAATAACTAAGAATATTCTGGAACATCAGCAAATTTTCCCTGGCAAAGAGCATTCTGTGAGTGACCCTGCTGACAAACTTGTATTGTCCTAACTGTAGCACAGCTTGCATTTGTCACAGGTGAATGGGCTCAATTAGCAAGAGAGAGCGAGTGTTTCAATTATTTAAAAAAAAGCAAACAAGGAAGAAAATATTTTCTCCTTTATGAGTCTTAAAAGAGAGGTGACATTGTAGCATATAATTTTTTTCCTTGAGTTTCACAAAGAAGGTAACTAAAGCAGAAAAAAAAAAACAGCGCCTTGTTTAGTATTGACAAAATGATTTGAAACAAAACTTCATGGCAGAATTCTCAAAAGACATTAATAGGGAGTAAAATTTTTCATGGGTATTCATGTGTTCTTATACCTCCTAAACATATACTTCCTTGTTCTGCTTATTAAGATCTCAGGGAAAAAGTTAGGCATTTGCTTTGATTTACATAACAAAGCAGATAGCCCCAATTATGCCTGAACTCAAGCAATTTTGAAGAGATGTTACTTTTTTCAGTTTATGAGGTAGTATTTAGTACAGTGAAGCAAAGGAAACTCTTAGTACATGACAGGTTGAAAGACAGTCTTAGCCAATAACTAGTTAAGTGAGCTTTATGGGCTTGAATGTAGTGTGGACTATAAATTCTTAAAGTGTTGTGAACCAAATGTGATAGAACTGTGGGAGCAGTATGTCAGAAAACTTGATATTAGAAATGAGGAAGAAATTGGCATTTAAAATAAAAATCTGACTGTATCATTTCTCAAGAGGAGTTGAGTATTAAAGTTAGAATTAAGTCGTAAAGAGCAAGAAAACAACAGTGTTCTAGAGAGTAGTACAGAGATAGGTGAAAAGAAAAGACCTGAAAACAAAAACCAAAATGGAGATTGTGTGGAACAACTTCCAAAGAACAAGCATCCAGGCCTCCTTGCTTCTCTGTAACCTCTAATTCATGTATTCATCTACTTATCTATTTATTAACTCATTTAATCAACCTTTACTTAATCATTTAATCAGCCTGTACCTAACTCTTTTTAGATGTCAGGAACCAGAGTAGGTGTTAGCAATATATTAATAAATAAAGTATAGACCTATCCAAAGAAATGTCAACCTATTAGTGTATACAGACATTTAAACAAAGAATTTTGGAAAAGATTAACATAGGTTGGGTTCTACAGTTAAGTAAAAGTACTACAGTAGAAGAAAGAATAGGGTTAACAACCATCTAGTTGTTTTTTTTTTATACTTTAAGTTTTAGGGTACATGTGCACAACGTGCAGGTTAGTTACATATGTATACATGTGCCATGTTGGTGTGCTGCACCCAGTAACTCGTCATTTAACATTAGGTATAACTCCAAATGCTATCCCTCCCCACTCCCCCCACCCCACAACAGGCCCCAGTGTGTGATGTTCCCCTTCCTGTGTACACGTGTTCTCATTGTTCAGTTCCCACCTGTGAGTGAGAACATGCGGTGTTTGGTTTTTTGTCCTTGCGATAGTTTGCTGAGAGTGATGGTTTCCAGCTTCATCCATGTCCCTACAAAGGACATGAACTCATCATTTTTTATTGCTGCATCATATTCCATGGTGTATATGTGCCACATTTTCTTAATCCAGTCTATCATTGTTGGACATTTAGGTTGGTTCCAAGCCTTTGCTATTGTGAATAGTGCCGCAATAAACATGTGTGCATGTGTCTTTATAGCAGCATGATTTATAATCCTTTGGGTATATACCCAGTAATGGGATGGCTGGGTCAAATGGTATTTCTAGTTCTAGATCCCTGAGGAATCGCCACACTGACTTCCACAATGGTTGAACTAGTTTACAGTCCCACCAACAATGTAAAAGCGTTCCTATTTCTCCACATCCTCGCCAGCACCTGTTGTTTCCTGACTTTTTAATGATTGCCATTCTAACTGGTGTGAGATGGTATCTCATTGTGGTGTTGATTTGCATTTCTCTGATGGCCACTAATGATGCGTATTTTTTCATGTGTCTTTTGGCTGCGTAAAAGTCTTCTTTTGAGAAGTGTCTGTTCATATACTTTGCCCACTTGTTGATGGGGTTGTTTGTTTTTTTCTTGTAAATTTGTTTGAGTTCATTGTACATTCTGGATATTAGCCCTTTGTCAGATGAGTAGATTGCAAAAATTTTCTCCCATTCTGTAGGTTGCCTGTTCACTCTGATGGTAGCCTCTTTTGCTGTGCAGAAGCTCTTTAGTTTAATTAGATCCCATTTGTCAATTTTGGCTTTTGTTTCCATTGCTTTTGGTGTTTTACACATGAAGTCCTTGCCCATGCCCATGTCCTGAATGGTATTGCCTAGGTTTTCTTCTAGGGTTTGTATGGTTTTAGGTCTAACGTTTAAGTCTTTAATCCATGTTGAATTAATTTTTGTATAAGGTGTAAGGAAGGTATCCAGTTTCAGCTTTCTACGTAGGGCTAGCCAGTTTTCCCAGCACCATTTATTAAATAGGGAATCCTTTCCCCATTTCTTGTTTTTGCCAGGTTTGTCAAAGATCAGATAGTTGTAAATATGCAGCATTATTTCTGAGGGCTCTGTTCTGTTCCACTGGTCTATATCTCTGTTTTGGTACCAGTACCATGCTGTTTTGGTTACTGTAGCCTTGTCGTATAGTTTGAAGTCAGGTAGCATGATGCCTCCAGCTTTGTTCTTTTGGCTTAGGATTGACTTGGCAATGCGAGCTCTTTTTCACTTCCATAGGAAGTTTAAAGTGGTTTTTTCCAATTCTGTGAAGAAAGTCATTGGTAGCTTGATGGGGATGGCATTGAACCTATAAATTACCTTGGGCAGTATGGCCATTTTCATGATATTGATTCTTCCTACCCATGAGCATGGAATGTTCTTCCATTTGTTTGTATTCTCTTTTATTTCATTGAGCAGTGAACAACCGTCTAGTTCTAAACAATGAGCAATGTTAAGCAAGTGACACCTGCTACCACCTCCAACCGAGGAGACCCACTTCATGGAGGACAGCAAACAGTATAATACCTACCACCAGGAGCAGCACTCCTAGGATGTCAACTCACTGCCTTGCTTGCAGGTGTTGGGGTCACCAAGAAAGGTAAGTCACATAGTCACTAGATGGACAGTGCATCCAGTGACAAAGCCAAGAGACGCAGCAAGATCATCTTCAGTTATTAGGGTCAGTTCCCAGGGCCAGCAGTCTTGCCTTACAGCTGATGCAGGGGGATGGTCTGCATGCACCCTTCCTGTGCTGCAGGTAGAGAATCCCATTCCCTTCCCACTGGGAACAGATACATCAGTGGGGTTGACCAGATACCACACTCTTAAGCATAACAAAAAAGCACACATCAAGCCCAGAAAGGGAAAGGTATTTCCAAGCAAAGAGACCTGCCTAGCAAAGGCTGTGAGGGCTTTTTAATCTCTTTGAAAAGAAATGGCGAAACAAGAAAAGATAAGAACTTGTTCATAGCTTGTTTTTTAATGAAGAAGGAAAACTTGTCATCTGGGTTTGATGAGAAGATTCCACCTTCTACGCAGTACACAGTCACTTTAATGCGGCTAGGCAAGAGGTGACAAGGTGTGTATGACTGTCTTTCTAAACAAGTAAAAACTTGCCTGGTGAACAAAGAAGAGAAGAGACTTCTAATCAAAAGGAATAGCATATGCAAAGTAAGAGAAGAGTGAAATAGTGGCATGTTTGTCTATGGGTCTATACCTGGTAATTTTTTGTTGGTTTATTTCCTACATATAAAATAAATAGTTAAGCCAAATACTTACAGCCAACTAATCTTTGACAAAACAGACAAAAACACCCTATTCAACAAATGGTGCTGGGGTAATTGGCAAGCCAAATGTAGAACGAACTGGATCCTTATCTCTCACCTTATACAAGGATAAACTCAAAATGAATCAAAGACTTAAATCTAAGACCTGAAAAATTCTAAAAGATAACATCAGAAAAACTCTTCTAGACATTGGCTTAGACAAAGAGTTCGTGACCAAGAACCCAAAAGAAAATGCAACAAAAAGAAAGACAATAGATGGGACTTAATTAAACTAAAAAGCTTCTGCACAGCAAAAGAAACAATAAGCAGAGTAAACAGACAACCCACAGAACGGGAGAAAATCTTCACCAACTGTGCATCTGACAAAGGACTAATATCCAGATTCTACAAGGAACTCAAACAAATCAGCAAGAAAAAACCCAAATAATCCCATCAAAAAGTGGGCTAAGGACATGAATTGACAATTCTCAAAAGAAGATACACAAATGGCCAACAAACATATGAAAAAATGCTCAACATCACTAATGATCAGGGAAATGTAAATCAAAACCACAATGCGATACCATCTTACTATTACAAGAATGGCCATAATTAAAAAATTAAAAAATAATAGATGTTGGTGTGGATGTGCTGGTGGGAATGTAAACTAGTACAACCACAATGGAAAACAGTATGGAGATTCCTTAAAGAACCAAAAGTAGATGTACCATTTGATCCAGCAGTCTCACTACTGGGTATCTACCCAGAGGAAAAAAAGTCATTATATGAAAAAGACACTTGCACATGCATGTTTATAGCAGCACAATTCACAATTGCAAAAATACTAAACCAGCCCAAATACCCATCAACCGAGTGGATAAAGAAAGTGTGATTTTATATCTATCTATCTATCTATCTATCTATCTATCTATCTATCTATCTATCTATCTATGGTACAGACACCATGGAATATTATTCAGCCATAAAAAGGAACAAAATAATAGCATTTGCAGCAATGCTGGATGGAGTTGGAGACCATTATTCTAAGCGAAGTAACTCAGGAATAGAAAACCAAACATCTTATGCTCTCACTTATAAGTAGGAGCTAAGTTATGAGAAAACAAAGACATAAGAATGATACAGTGGACTTTGGGGACGCAGGGGGAAGTGTGGGAGGAGAGTGAGGGACAAAAGACTACACACTGGGTACAGCATACACTGCCAGGGTGACGGGTGCACCAGTATCTCAGAAATCGCCACTAAATAACTTTTTCATGTAACCAAACACTACTTGTTCCTTAAAAACTGTTGAAATGACAATAAAATATAAAAATAATAAAATAAAATAAATAAATCAAGAAATGAAATAGCTGTATTAAAACTTACTTCAATAAAAATAATGGTGGGATTGACAATTTTTTGTTCCTACCTCCCCTTGCCATACTGGGGTTGGGCATGTGATCAAAGCTAATCATATAATTTCTTTCAGAAATTTGATTGTAAAAATATGCAAAATATGAAATGGCTAATTAAAAATGGTGATTAATTTCATGTCAGTATTAGAAAGTGACTATTTAAGGGTTTCTGCTGTTGAAATTCCTAGACTTGTCTTTCTTGAGGTTTTGCTACTCAGCTTTTCTTCAATTCTGTGAACCATTTACTGTACTTCTAGTAAGTACCTTACCTTTCAACTTCTTTAATTACCTAGAGTTAGTTTCTCTTACTTTTAATAACATAACATGAGATTCCTGGATCAGAGACAGAATATTTTATTACTGATGGCACACCAAGCTTCATGAATATCAATTTATGTCAGTTCACCTTGCCTTCCAAGTCCCACAGGGACAACATGAAGATACCTGAGTAGATGCTGCAGATGGAATCAAATTTTCCCCCTAACTCAGTGATTTACAATGGAATGAAATAAGTTGCTCACTGGTCATCTAGGGCACGGGAAGAAAAGATAGGGATCAACACTTGGTTAGGCAGGGCAGATTGCCAGGGCAAGATAAACTGTCTGAATTCTCTTGAATGTGGACCCATTCCTTAAAGAATGACTTGCTGCTTGGAGGAGGCGTTGTTCTTGCCCTTAGCCCAAACTTTACTTTATTAAGCCTTGTTGAGGGCAGAGGCAAGAAAAGATAAGAACTTTTCATAGCAGGTTTTTAATGAAGAGAAAAAACTTGTCATCTGGGTTTGATGAGACTATTCTACCTTTTACTGTGTACACTATTTTAGTAATATATGTATATTTTTAAAATGTAAAATACTTGAATAGGCTTATATCATATATCATAATAGCAGTATTATTGGCAATCTGCTTTTCAGGCTGATGAATAGAATTTATTCATTATTTTCATTATTCTGGTGTCATTTTAGTCCTTAGTAATTTTTTAAAATTATGTTTTTCTTTTTCATTGTAAAAAAGTATACAAAATAAAAACTTGAAAGGACAAAGTAATTAGGTAGGATGAAACTGCATACAAAAAAACATAATTTCAGAGTAATGTAGTTGACTATGTTTAAGATAAAGGCATTTAACTCTATTTAAGAGAATGCAATTGATTATATTGCATTATTCTGCAATAATATATATCAATACATATTCAATATATCACATTTTGAAACTTATTAACTATGATATATTTAGATATATTTCTGTATTAAAAATATTTAACAAAATATAAGCATACAATTTAAACTAAATTTACAGCTTCATCCTTAAAAGTTCGGTGAATGTTCTTTTTTAATACAGTGCCCAGGAAAATACTTCAGCAGTCTGAGAAAGTCAAATTTGTGTGTGTGTGTGTGTGTGTGTGTGTGTGTGTGTGAGAGAGAGAGTGTGTATGCAGCATTCTACATAAAATAAATAATTATAAAAGACAAAGTACATTAGCAACACATGCAAAGTAATCAAGTCCTTGGTTGATAGACATAGTCAGCTCATAGACTATAATCTTCAAAAATATATACTGGGAATATCCTTACATATCAAATAGGATATTCAATCAAGTTTCATTAAAATTTACTATTACAAAATTTTGTGCTGGCTTTTTCCCTCATATTCATTAATCAATCAAACAATAAACCAATTAGGTTGTCTAGTTTCATTTGTTTATAAGTAGAATCTATTCTAGGCACAGAGATACAGATGTAAAGAGATATAGATAGGTCTTCTCATGAAGCTGATTTTCTAGAGGGAGATGTAACCAGTAATAAAGCATACAAGCATTTACTATCATTTATGAAAGTGTGAGTTTAATAAAGAAAAAACAAACAGTAAAAAAATGGAACATAAAAGAGGTATGCACTTTTTTAGGTAGCATGTCAGGGAGTCTTTCTGAGAAAGTAATATTGAGCAGATACCTGCAGGAAGAGGGGGAGAAAGCCAAGTGAAGTACTTGGGGAAAAGACTTTAAATAAGCCAGCATGGCTGGAATAGAGCCAATAGAAAGGAGAGGGTGATCATGGAATACTACACAGCCATAAAAAAGAACAAGATCATGTCCTTTTCAGGGACACGGATGGAGCTAGAAGCCATTATCCTCAGCAAACTAACACAGGAACAGAAAACCAAACATTGCATGTTCTAACTTATAAGTGGGAGCTGAACAATGAACACATGGACCCAGGGAGAGGAACATCACACACTGTGGCCTGTCAGGGGGACAGGGGGAGGGAGAGCATAAGGATAAATAGCTAATGCATGTGGGGCTCAATACCTAGGTGATGGGTTGATAGGTGCAGCAAGCCACCATGGCACACGTTTACCTATGTAACAAACCTGCATGTCCTGCATATGTATCCTAGAACTTTAAATTAAATTAAATATAAAAAAGAAAAAAAAAGAAAAGAAAAGAGAGAGTGATGGGAGATGAATTCATAGCTATTGGCAGTCACATCCTGGGAAGTGCTGTTGATTATGGTATAGATTTTGGAATTTATTCTGATTAAGATGAAAAACCATTAGAGAATTTTGAGCAAGAGAATAATGCTATTTTACATTTTGAAATTGTCAATCTGGTAGCACAATTGAGAACAGAATGCCAAAAGTTAAGCATAAATACAGGGGCTTGAGTCAGGAAGCTAACAAAGTAATCCACACAAGAAATGTAAAAGGGCTTGAGCAGACTTGGAATTGGTGAATAGTGGCAAGTGATAAAACTCATAGGGCTTGTTTGTGATCTGGATGCGAGTATAAATGAAAGAGAGGCAATAAAAGATGATACTTGGGTTCTTGTCTTGAGCAACTGAGTAAATGGCATGACCACTTACCCAGATGAGAAAAACTTGGGGAATAGCAGTTGATACAGTTTGGCTGTGTGTCCCCACCCAGATCCCATGTCAAATTGTAATTCCCATGTTGGAGGATGGGCCTCATGGGAGGTGACTGAATCATGGGGCAGACTTTCCCCTTGCTGCTCTTGTGATAGAGTGCTTATGAGATCTGGTTGTTTGAAAGTGTGTAGCACTTCCCCCTTTGCTCTTTCTCCTGCTGGCCATGTGAAGATCATGCCTGCTTCCCCTTCCCCTTCTGCCATGATCGTAAGTTTCCTGAGGCCTCCCCAGCCATGTCTCCTGTACAGCCTGTGGAACTCTGAGTCAATTAAACCTCTTTTCTTTATAAATTACTCAGTCTCAGATAGTTCTTTATAGCAGTGAGAGAACAGACTAATACAGCATTTAAGGGAGATAATAAAAATTCTTGATCTGGATAGGTTACCAGTGTCATATGAGTATTAGATTTCCAAGTGGAGAAAGTGTGAATAGAGAAAAGGGTACCATTAGGAGGTATACCTAATGCTAAATGATGAGTTAATGGGTGCAGCACACCAGCATGGCACATGTATACATATGTAACCAACCTGCACATTGTGCACATGTACCCTAAAACTTAAAGTATAAAAAAAAAAAAAAAGAAGTGAACCTGGAGGCACTGCAACATTTAAAGGTGATACATAGCAAAAAAGACTAAGAAGGAGCGACAAGTATAATAGGAGGAAAAAGAAGACACATATTGTCCTAGCCAATACATCCAGTTTGGGGTTGGTAAATTAAAGCTCACATGTCAAATCCTGTCTGCTGTTTTGTATGGCTGTTGAGCCATACAACAGCCATACAAGAATGTGTTTTACATCTTGAAATATTTGAAAGAAGAATGTGTTTACATTTTTACACACTGAAAGAAGACTAATATTTATTGACACATGTAATTTATATGAAATTCAAAACAGTGTCTATGAGCAAAGTTGTAGTGGAAGATAGCCATACTTACTCATTTGCATATTGTTGATAGCTGCTTTTGTGCTACAATAACTGAGTTAAGCAGTTGCAACAAAAGCTATTTGATCCATAAAGCCTAAAATATTTATCTGACTTTATACAGAAAAAATTTACCAACCTGTTAATCACTAAGAGAAGAATATGTTTCAAGAAGGAAGTGGTAATCAAATGTATCAAATTCTGCTAGAAGGTAAAGCTAGAGGAGGAGAGAGTTGACCCTGGAATTGGCAAGAGAGAGATATCTGATGGCCACGTCAAGAGAGGGTTCTGTGGATTGGTGAGGAAAAAGGCCTAACTGGAGTGGATTGAGGACAGAATGGAAATATAGGAAGTGAAGATGCAAAATTTTTAATAAAATACTTCTTCAAGAACTTTTGCTATAAAGGTTAATATAATCTGGTAGCAACTAGAAAGAACATGGATTCAGAATAATATATCACTGTATATTACTCTACATATTACTATATATACTCTTTTAATTTAAGTTTTACAACAATCCTGCAAGTCAGGTCCATTATAGAGAGAAGAAAGTGTGTCTTGAAAAATTATGTAACTAAAACTTGTGAGAAATGGAATGATTGTCAAAGTTTATGGTGATAATTATTACAGATGTCTAAACAAAATATTGGCTGAAGCATAAAACAAAACATGTAGAAAATGTTGTGGATGCAATTACATTTCAGATCTTCCATATGCTATTAAGTATTTACTTCCATATGAAACTATCTTGGGGAAGATTTTTATTGACCTGGCAAATTCCTTCTAATTATTTTTATGTGAATATATATATTCATAATATGAATATATTATATTCATATTATGAATATATTATATTCATATATTCATCAAGTATATAAGCACATACTTGATATATGGAAATATATATTTTCACTATTACCATTGTAAACTAAACATGGTAAAATGGATCCAGTTAAATGAAGAGTAACTATCAAGGAAAGAAACAACCACTAGTTTTTGTTTAATGTAGAGCTTTCTCCACAATAGTAAAATTGTTTCACTTAATTTACTTATAAATCACAGGCAATGTAGGACAAAATGGATTTATGCATATGATCTCTTACTCCTGAGGATCAATGGAAAGAAAAGGAACATAACCATTAAGATAATAAACACATTCTGTGACCTCACATGTATAAAAGTTCTGGCCAAGAGCTGCAAAGCCTTTAATAATAACTCCCATAGAAGACTCCTATGTAACAAATATCAGGATCCTTGGAATTTCAATGAGCCTACTAAAGAGTGAGGTCATGAACTTGAACCTCTGTGATGTATAGAGATATCTAGACTTTAAGTAAAGCCTTTGGGGAAGAGTATTATAGGATTGAACCTGTCAGGAGAGATCAAGCACCGTCTAATGAACCAAAAAAGCTCTACTAAAGCCGACACAGATTAACTATCTAGGAACAATACACCCTGTCACAATTACTTGAGGCAAAAATTGTTAGCAGAAGTAGATAATGTAAAGAAGTTAAGTGTAAACTGAAACTGGCTTACACCAACTAAAACTTTGTCATTATTGCTAAATATTTACTGAGTAGCTTTTGAGTAAGGCATTGAGGTTGTAAACAGTTAAGTTACACTGTCCCTTTCCTGGATGATGGGACACTCCAGTTAGGCTTCTAACGTCATGACATGTATCAGCAAGAAGAATCAAGGTCCATACTAAACCTCAAAAGAAAGCAATGCCATATCTTTACAGGGATAAACTGAATGCAGATTCTGGTATTTATATTCTATTTTCCTCAGGGTGGTATCCTTCCCTCTTCTCTGGAAAGACTACCACCTTCTGAGGACTCAACCTTCTCTGTACACAAGATTTAAGATGGGCTGATACTCAGTGAACTCTGCCCTTTCTTATCACCCTCTAAACCATGGGAGATGAAATTTGACCCAGGCTTCATCACAAGTTAAAGTATTCTTTTTCTGGTTACAGTGACTGAGCCAGTTATTAATACAATCTTTTTTTGAGCCAGTTGCAGTCTTTCCCTGGGGTTTCATATTTTGAGTATAATAGAAGATGATGTAATCTTGAGGTTACTTTCAAGTATGGTCTGTTACATGCCATTCTCATTCCCCTCCCACAACCACAACCACCGTCTACTCACATTGTTCTCTGACCTGAACCTGGCAGTCCTAGACTTCCCCAAGTTCCAGGCCATGCACCTGCTCCCAGTTGAATGATGAGAAGTATGTTGGGGGCAAATGGCCAAAGCCTGGAGTAGCAAGAACTCTTATCAAAACTTAAATCTTCTTATAATTAACACTTGAGTTAGTATATTTAAAAAAAAAAAACTCTTACTGTTGAAGACATTGCTAATGAGGCTTCCTTAAGACCAACTGATGTGTTCCCAAAAGTTGAACATAGAACTAGCAATGTGAAAGTAAAGCTGTTAAAGAAAGAAAATAAACAAAAGAGAAACAGTTGTTTATGAACTTTATCCTAGGCTAGTGGGCTGAACATCAGACTTCTGTACTAACCCTAGCCTGCAAACATCAAATATTGTTCCGTGAGGTGATGAAAACAGATTTGCCTTTTTTTGATATATGGATAATGAATTTGCCTTGTCAGATCTTGTCCCCTTTCTTCTTCAGACTGTTGCTATATTAACCTGTTTCTTAGATGTTTTGCTCTTATCTTTCAAAGAGAATTTGTCCTCCAATTGTTTGCAAAACAGACTATGAGCTCTGCTGGAAACCTTTTGTTAATACATGGTTGTTAGTGCTGTAACAAATCTAATGAAAGTCAGAAAGAATAATTTCAGGCTTCACCCAAGGCAAAATCTGGAGTTTAAAGAACATATTTCCAAGAATCAGGTGGTCTAAGAAAAAGAAAATTTTCTAAGAAAAAATCAAGATACTGTCTATTATACTTCAGTTGAGAGAGGTAAAGCAGCTGTTAGGAAGTGCATGTTCAGTGTTTATCATAATACCAGGACATTTTAGTACAGCAAATAAAATTGAGATGCTCATAGCCAGTGCAAGTTTGAGAGACAAGTGGGGTTCCGCCATGGATGTAGATGACTTCACATTTCCACATGCTTCATGAAGGAGGGATCCATTTGCCTTACGTCTTCAGAAAGCAGAACTTTCAAGGCCAAAGGAAAAAAAAGCCAAAGTTTTATATTCTAATAATATTTAACGAAAAAAACCTAACCTTGTATGTAACAGAGATGATGAGTATTTATTAGATTTATTATGTGCTTTTAGCATGATTATTTCTTCTCTTGAATTTAGAAGGAAATCAAATAGTTCTGTGGTTGAATCCACATAAATTAGCTTGCAAGCTCTAGAGGCACAAGACAATTTTGCACTTGTACATTTCATTTCTAACAATGTATACATTGTTATGTATACATACATTCATAGTCTATTTATTTTAACTATATTACTGATAAAAAATTTTCCTCTTGTTTGTGACATTAGTACAAATGAGGTCTTATCCTTAAGGACAAAAAAAACGTTTCTTTGATTCATCATGTTTTCACCTATTTTATTCCCTATATTATTTCTTTTTGTCATTTTGTTTGTTAAATGCTTCCTTTGCTTCTATTTGTATCTCTTACATGTCTATCCACTTCACTTCTAATAATGCCCTGTACCACTTTCTTGTTTAGCTATTCTGTAGCATCATGGAAGCATTAAGCTAGGATATCAGAAATCATTCTAAGCCAGAATTTACCTCTAATTAATTATGTGTGTATTTCCTTCCTGAATCTACTACCTGAAAAATGATTAGATTGAATGTAATATCCAGTCGAATGTAAAATTATATTGAATGTAAAATCTAGTTGAATGTAAAATTCTGTATATATGTGTGGTTTTCTTGAGGAAAAGAGTCATCATTTATCAGTTTTTTAGAGGATGTTTTTAAACCATAGCTAGTAGCTGATCAACATTCTCTCCTCTCTCGTCTACTAAAATAACTGAGGCAATAAGTAGAGCCATTTTTTCCAATATAGGCCTTAAAAGTATTCAGATAGTTCCAGAAAATAGAAAATTCTCCAGAAATTCAATAGATTTTAGAAAAATCCAGTTGACAAAGAAATTCAATAGACATCAGCAATTAAACTTATTAAAACTATATTAATAAATTAAGTTGGGTATTGATAAGTATACTATTAATGACCTTAAATAAAGAATACAGTACATAAAAATATCTTCTAAAAATAAGGAATACAGCACCTTGAAGTGATGGAGTACTAAACAATAATGCTTTTTATCCAATTACTGATTACTTTATTATTACTAATGTTTGTTTGGAGAAATATAATGTTTGGACATGGCATTTATGTTACACACTTCAGAATTTAAACTACATGTTATAGTATAATAAAGATAAAATATATAACATGAATATTTAATAATGTATAAATATCAGAGCTTATTTTAAGCTTATTTCAAATGCAGAGAGCTGGAAAGATAGTTAACAATTTTTCAGTCCCAAAATTGGTATAGACAGAAACTCAGAGAAGTAAGCAGAAATGAACACATTTTAGTCTCAAGATAATTTTCCCAACCTAATGAACTTAAGTTTAACTTTTCTCAGCCTTGTCTATTATAAGAAATAAAGTTCAAAACCCAAGGTAGACAGTTTAGTAGTGGAATCCTTTGCTGGAAAGCCAGATACCCAAAGTGCCGTACCCTCAGTGTAAAATGAAGTAAAAGTAAACATGCCTACCACTTCCAACCCCATAGAACTATACAACTACCAGGAATTTTGCCTTGGTAAAGAGCAAAGCAGAAGAACAAAAAATATGCCTTGGAGGCTATTGTCATAAATCAGCTGTTGCTCATATGTATAGCCTAAATCTACAATATGAGATAATCCAAAAAACTCCAAGTCATGCCTTCAATTTAAAATAGTCCAACTATATAATTAAAGTAAGCACAATTATTTTTTGGAAAGAATAGGCCTGGTCCATGACCTCAGAAATGGTCCACAAATAAGCCTCCCTCCCTAATTAACACATCCCAGTCAATAATTATTGAGGATATACAATAGTTAATTTTATATGTCAACTTGACTGGGACACAAGGTGCTTAGATATTTAGTCAAATATTATTCTGGGTATGTCTATGAGGGCATTTTTGGATGAGATTAACATTTGAATTGGTAGACTGAGAAAAGCAGATTATCCTCACTAATATGGGTGGACCTCATCCAATTAATGGAAAAACTGAATAGAATAAAAAGGCTGACCATCCCCCAAGTAAGAGAATTCTCCTGCCTGACTGCCTTTCAATTAGGGCATTGACTTATTTCTGGATCTTGAGCCTGCTGGCCTTTAGATACACTACACCACCAGCACTCCCTCCATTTGGTGTCCAGCCTGCCAACTCACCCCTCAAATCTTGGGACTAGTCAGCCTCCATAATCACATGAACCGATTTCTTATAATAAATCTCTTTATGTACATGCACTGTACATGTACTTCAATTTTTTGCCTCAAAATAAACTCATACTAATTTGTTACAGCATGTCTGAACAGGATGTACTTTGAGACACTAAGAAACATAAGACATCAGTTTGAAAATAGCCCTTATTAGAGCAACATGAATTCTACTAAAATTAAAGCAAGAACAAATGTCAAATTTATGATAAATCTTGGGTGAAAGCACAGTGAAATCATTGATGCTCTACGAAAAGTTTGGACGATTCACCAAAGAAATCAGCAGTTTACAAATGGATAACTCATTTTAAGAAGAGATGAGAGCATGCTGAAGATGAAGCCCACAGCAGCAGACCATCCACACCAATTTGCAAGGAAAAAATTAATCTTGTTTGTGTCCTAATTGAAGAGGACAGATGATTAATAGCAGAAACAAAAGCCAACACCATAGACATCTCAATTGTTTCAGCTTATACAATTCTGACTGAAAAATAAAAACTGAGCAAACTTTCCACTTGACATTTGCTACAACTGTTGGACCCAGATCAGCTGCAGACAAGAGCAGAGCTTTCAATAGAAATTTTAAACACGTGGGATCCAGATCCTGAAGCATTTCTTTTAAGAATTGTAACAAAAGATTAAAACATGGCTTTACAAGTATGATCCTGAAGACAAAGCACAATCAAAGCAATGGCCACCAAGAGGTGGAAGTGGTCCAGTCAAAGCAGAAGTGAATAGGTCAAGAGCAAAGGTCATGGAAACAGTATTTTGGGATGCTCATGCATTTTGTTTGTAGACTTTCTGGAGGGCAAAAGAATTATAACATCTGCTTATTACAAACATGTTTTGAGAAAGTTAGCCACAGCTTTAGCAGAAAAACACCAAGGGAGAATTTACCAGAGAGTCCTTCTCCACCATGAAAATGTTCCTTCTTATTCGTCTCATCAAATAAGGGCAATTTTGTAAGAGTTTCTATAGAGAATCATGAGGCATCTACCTTACAATCCTGAACTGGCTCCTTCCGACTCCTTTTTGTTTGTTAATCTTAAAAAAAATTTTAAAGCTCACCCACTTTTCTTCAGTTAATAAAGTAAAAGAGACTGCATTGACACGGTTAAATTCCCAGGACTCTCATTTCTGTAAGGATGAACTAAATAGCTGGTATCATCACTTACAAGTGTCTTAAACTGGATGGAGCCTATGTTGAGAAATAAAAGAAAATTTTAATAATAAAATACATGTTATTAAAGATGCTTGAGTTTGCAGGTTGACTTACAGAAAATACATATTTTATGGTAAAGTATGACTTCTTCCCCTAGTGTCATAGCCAAATGAAAATGATGTCACCTAACCACTGTGGAGGTCTACATGGTTAAACAGAACTGTGCTAATGGACTATTGTCAGGAGGATGTTTATTGGTGTTTCACAGAGTCTGCGATGATGCTGCATAGATGGAAATTCTATTTTCAACCCTGACTCTAAACAGGAAGTAATAGTTTTTCCTAGACAGGTTTAAGTTTCCCATGGCCACATTACACTGAATACCAACCCCCGCAAAGACAAAGCATATACAGCCTGCTTACATTAGACAAATACAGACACTACATTAATTGTTTGTTTTTGTCAAGATGGCAGATTAGAGGCTTTCCACATACCTCAGCCACTTGGAAATAGCAAGATGGTACACAGAGATCAACTCTGTGAGCTTTAATTCAAGAAGGAAAATGGGAATTCATCAAAATTGTGAAGGACACCACAGATCCTGGATGCTGGCAAACAGCCCCCATTACAGTGTGCATCTGATAAAAGTGAGTGAAGCCCCAGTATGTGATAACCAGTATTTTGTAGGCATATTTCATGAAAATAAAGTTCCAGTAAGCTCTATCTGGCAAATCCCAAAGAAAAAACTATTAAGATGTTATAGAGATCAGTAAATGGTTCATACAAAAGGCAATAGCTGTTCTTTATACCAGCAAAAACCACTAGAGGGTGAAGGAAAAAACAACAGCACATTGACAATAGCAACAAAACCCATAAGATACCCAGGATTAACTAAACATGAAATATGCCAGTTCTATATTTAAGAAAAGAGAGAGGATTTATAAAACTTATTTTTCAAGGAAAGGTAATTTGAAATTATCTCTGTGGAATGGAAGAAAAAATATTGCAAAGGCATTAATCTTCCCCTAAATTATTTTATAAATTTAATTAAATCCAGTGAAATATAAAGCTTACTTTTGTCACAAGCTAGTTCTAGGGTGTATCTATATCACTTAAAGTGAAATAACAAACCTCTTTCACTCTTCATTCTATATTCAATACTTGATATTATTGATAGCACATAATAGGTCCTTGACTGATAAGTATATATTAATTGAATAAATGAGTACAATTCAAGTAATAAATATAACATAATAAGTATATAACAAGAGCCAATATGTTTTTGAAAATAAAAAACAGTCTACCATATATCAGACTATTTTATAAAGTTATATCCACTGCTCGCCATGACTAACATGTTCCAGATTAATCCTCCTATTGCAAACAACTATAAAACAGGAAGAAATAAATGTGGCAATTGTTTCCAGACAATAGACAAAAGATGATGAAATACTTCAATCTCCAAAGGAAGGTCAAATCACAAGGTGAGTTTTACTTGTGCACCAGAGAGAATTCTTCCTGATCTTGGCATAGAAAGGGAAAACTCAAGTAGACTGTGGCAGTCTTTTCAGAGAAATCTGATAAAGACTTTACAGAACAATTACACACCAAAATCTTTTATTAACCTAGACTTTTGAATCCTCAAATCCAGAAATATATAAAATGAGTGGTATTTTCTGACCAACTAGGATGTATCTCAGGAATGCAAGGTTAGTTCAACAGTCAAAAATCAATGTAGGTTTTTGGGTTTTTGTTTGTTTTTGTCAAGATGGCAGATTAGAGGCTTTCCACATACCTCAGCCACTTGGAAATAGCAAGATGGTACATAGAGATCAACTCTGTGAGCTTTAATTCAAGAAGGAAAATGGGAATTCATCAAAATTGTGAAGGACACCACAGATCCTGGATGCTGGCAAACAGCCCCCATTACAGTGTGCATCTGATAAAAGTGAGTGAAGCCCCAGTATGTGAGAGAGGCAGAGTCTCCCTCATGACTCACCTTTACAGTGGGGATCCAAGCAACCCAAGCCAAAAGAGAGCACTTTGTTTCTCCCAAGCCCTGGAGCTAACTTGGGAAGAGGCTTGGAGATGCTGTGAGGGAAAGAAACTGGGAAAAGCTGCAGACATTTTTGCAGACCCAGTACTTATAGCGTAATGCCATTTTTAATCCAAGTGCATGCAAAGTCAGCCATTCCATGGCTACCCAGCAGCACGGCCATGCAAGCATTTTAGTCTCAGGCCAGAGGTTGGAGTACCTGCTCTTGAGTGGGGTAAGGGCCTCCACAACCAGAACTGTAGAAAGTGCCTCAGAAGTAGGTGCTAGAGTTGTGCTCTCCCAGTTGCAAGCCTGGGGTGGGAGGAGAGCTGCTACAGCTGCAGTTTCTCCTAGACAGCAAGACTTGCAGCCAGAGCCAGCTTGATGAACTGGAACTCATTTGAGTTCTAGTTCGGTGGGTGAAATGGACTGCAACTCAGATCAGTTTGGTGTCCCACCGCCACACCCTGCTCCCCTGAGATTATGATGTAATGAGGCCCTCTCTGCTCCATACTTACGTAGATCTCCAGGCATTTGGAGCACCCATTCTCCTGGATTAGGAGTTGAGGGCACCCCTGAATCCCTGTGAGCTTGGAGCTGAGGAGGTTTCCCAGCTCCATGTCTAGTCACTCTCTGGGCACTTGGTGGCTGCCTACTGGATTCTCCCTAAGTGCTGGTGCCTGTGCCTGCCATCGGGGGACCTATGGGTGGACCTTTGTGGTCCCTGCCCCTCTGGAGCTGAGCAGGGAGCTCAGACTACCGTGCATTCCATGAGTCAACTCATTGCCTATGACAACAGAGACCTTCTGCCAGTAAATAAGAATCAAGTATTTAGCCACATTGGCTGCAGCTGGCTCCTACCTATAAGTTCCATCTATGGGCCTGTAGGTCAAACTGCACAGCTGTTGTGCAGAATATAAGACCTGCTGACAGAAGTGCCTAAGACTATAGAAGCAAGGCAAAAGGACCCTACCCAGAATTCTCTACTGTCACACCCCCCTAAGGAGGGGGAAAAGGGAAAGGAAAATGAAAAGTAATTATAATAATAACATTATAGGGAAAGAAAACAAAAGATAAAATCTTACCCACACAAAAATAATTACAAAAATTAAAAATGCCAGCATTTCCAGATGAGAAGGATTCAGTGCAAGAATTTTAGCACCATAAAAAAAAAAAAAAAAACTGAGTGTAGTGAAATCACCAGACAATTATACTAGCTCTCCAGCAATTATCCCTAATCAAAATGGAAGCAAAAATGACAGATTGAAAGCATGGATTGCAAAGAAGCTCAATGAAATCCAAGAAAAGGTTAAAAACCAACATAAAGAAACTTCTAAGGAAATCCAGGAAATGAAGGAAGAGATAAACATATTAAAGAGAAATCAATCAGAGATTCTGGAAATAAAAAACTCACTTGTGGAATTTCCAAATACAATTGAAAACCTTATCAATAGACTGGACTAAGCAAAAGAAAGAATTTCAGAGCTAGAAGACCAACCATTTGAACTAACCCAGTCAGACAAAAGAAAAAAAAACTCAAAATATGAACAAATCTTTGAGAAATATGAGCTTATGTAAAGAAACCAAACCTATAAATTACTGGCATTCCTAAGAGGAGAAAAAGTCAACAACCTGGAAAATATACTTGGGGGAATAATTCAAGAAAACTTCCCTAATCTTGCTAGAGAGGCAGACATCCAGAAACAAGAAATCCAGAAAACACCTATGAGATACTATGCAAAATAAACATCAAGGCATATAGTCACCAAACTGTCCAAGGTCAATGCTAAAGGAAAAATCTTAAAGGCAGCTGGAGAAAAAGGGTAGATCATGTATAAAGGGAAGCCCATCAGGCTAACAGCACACTTCTTCAGCAGAAACCTTACAAGCCAGGAGAGATCAGGGCCTATTTTTTTAGCAAAAAAATAAATGAAATAAACAGAAAAGAAATTCCAACCAAGAATTTCATAGCTTGCCAAACTAAACTTTATGAACAAAGGAGAAATAAAATATTATCCAGACAAGCAAGCACTAAAGGAATTTCTTACCACTAGGCCAACCTTATAAGATATCCTTAAGGAAGTTCTAAACATGGAAACAAAAAAGCATACCTGTTTCAAAAACACCCTTAAGTAAATAGCCCATAGATCCTACTAAAGCAACCACACATCTGACACTGGAAAGCAAACAGTTAACAACTTCACAATAGAATCAAAACCTCACATATCAGTATTAACTTTGAATGTAAATGGTTTAAATGCCTCGGTTAAAAGGCACATAGTCCCAACTTGGATAAAAAGAGACTCATCCACCTGTTGTTTTCAAGAGCATCTCACATGTAACAACACCCATAGGCTCAAAGTAGAGAACTGAAGAAAGATCTGCCATGCAAATGGAAAATGAAAAAGAGCAGAGGTCTCCATTCTTATATCAGATAAAACAGACACTAAACCAACAACAATAAAAAGGACAAAGAAGGGCATTACAAAATGATAAAGGGTTAAATACAACAAGAAGACTTAACTATTCTAAATATATATGCATCCATGTATATTTTGGAGCATTCAAATATAAATTGGAGCATCCAGATTCATAAAACAAGTACTTTTATTTTGGGGTGATCAGACCTAACACTAGGCCATGGGGGCTATGAAGTCTGGCAGAGTCAAAGGAATGAGAAAAAACAGGTTAAGAGTACATAAGGTGGGTCTTTGCAAAAAAGAAGAGGGGGACATATTGGTAGAAGAGCTGCGGCAAGACAGTCTTCCACCTTTTGGCACAAAGCTTAGTGTTCCAAAGGCCACGAAATGTTTTAGACCTTAGACCCCAGGCATCTTCCAAGACTCTTTTATATTATGACAGACAAGCCAGTCCTGCCTCAGCTCTTCTACCAACACTTTTAGACCTAAAAAAGGACTTAGACGCAATAATAGTGGGGGACTTTAACACCCCGCTGACAACATTAGACATAGCATTGAGGCAGAAAACTAACAAAGTAATTCTGTATGCAAAGTCAACACTTGACTAATTGAACGTAATAGACATCTACAGAATACTCCACCCATCAACCACAGAATATACATCTTCTCATCTGCACATGGAACATATTCCAAGATTAGCCACATGATAAGCCATAAAATAAGTCTCAATAAATGCAAGAAAATCAAATTCATAACAACCTATTATTGGACCACACTAGAATACAAATAGAAATCAATACCAAGAAGATCTCACAAAACCACACAATTATATGGAAATTAAATACTTGTTAATGAGTGACTTTTTGGTAAACAATGAAATCAGGGCAGAAATTTAAAAAATTCTTGAAATAAATGAAATCAGAGACACAATATACCAAAATCTCTGGGATGCAGCAAAAACAGTGTTAAGAGGAAAGTTCATAGCACTAAATGCCTACCTCAAAGTTGGGAAGATCTCAAATTAACAATCTAACATCACATCTAGAAGAAATACAAAAACAAGAACAAAGTAACACCAAAGTCAGAAGAGGAAAAGAAATAACTAAAATGTGAGTGGAACTGAACAAAACTGAGACCCAATAAGCCACAAAGAATCAACAAAAGCAAAAGCTGGTTGTTTGACAAAATAAAAATAGTTGATAGACCACTAGCTAGATTAACAATAAAAAAAAGAGAAGATCCAAATAAGCACAATAAGAAATGACAAAGGTAACATTAAAATCAATCCCACAGAAATACAAAAAATCTCCAGAGACTATTATAAACACCTCTACACCCACAAACTAGAAAATCTAGAGGAAATCAATAAATTCTTGGAAACACACAATCTCCCAAGATCGAATCACAAAGAAATCAAAACATTAAACAGACCAATATCGAGTTCCAAAATTGAAACAGTAATAAAAAACCTACCAGCCAAAGAAAGCCCTGGACCAGATGGATTCACAACCAAATTCTACTAAATGTACAAAGAAGAGCCAGTACCAATTCTACTAAACTATTCAAAAAAAAATTGAGGAGGAGGGACTTCCTTATTCATTCTATAAAGCCAGCTTCACCCTGATACCAAAACCTAGCAGACACAATGAAGAAAGAAAACTGCAGGCCAATATTTGTGATGAACATAGATGCAAAAATCCTCAGCAAAATACTAGCAAACCGAATTCAACGGCACATCAAAAAGTGAATTCACCATGATCGAGTAGGCTTCATTTCTGGGATGCTGATAAGGCTGATAAGGTTGATTTAACATACACAAATTTATGAATGAGATTCACCACGTAAGTAGAATTAAAAACAAAAACCATATGATCATCACAATAGATGCAGGAAAAGCTTTCAATAAAATCCAACATCCCTTCATGAAAAAACCCTCAAAAAATTAGGCATCAAAAGAACATGCTTCAAAATAAGAAGAACTATCTATGACAAACCCACAGCCAACATCACATTGAATGGGCAATATGTAAGCATTCCCCTTGAGAAATGAAACAAGAAAAGGATGTCCACTCTCACCACTCCTATTCAACATAGTACTGGAAGTGCTAGCCAGAGAGATCAGGCAAAAGAAAGAAAGAAAAGGCATCCCAATAGGAAAAGAAGTCAACCTATCTCTCTTTATAGACAATATGATTCTACGCATAGAAAACATTGAAGACTCTGCCAAAAGGCTTCTGGAAATAATAAATAACTTCAGTAAAGTTTCCGAATACAAAATCAATGCACAAAAATCAGTAGCATTTCTATACACCAACAATGTTCATGCTGAGAGCCAAATCAAGAACATAATCTCATTTCCAATAGGCCCCCACAAATGCACTCACACACACACACACACGAAAAAACAAAAACAAAAATCTAGGAATGCATCTAACCAAGGAGGTGAAAGATCTCTACAAGGAGAACTACAAAACACTGCTAAAAGAAATTATAAATAACACAAACAAATGGAAAAACATTCCATGCTTACGGATTGGAGGAATCAATATTGTTAAAATGGCCATACAGCCCAAAGCAATGTACAGATTCAATGTTATTCCTATCAAACTACCAACATCATTTTTCACAAAACTGGAAAAACTATTCTAAAATTTATATGGAACCAAAAAGGAACCTGAATAGTAAAAACAATTGTAAACAAAAAGAACAAAGCCAGAGGCATCACGTTATCTGACTTTAAACTATACTATAAGAGTACAGTAACCAAAACAGCATGGTACTGGTACATAAATAGACACATAGACCAGTGGAAGAGAATAGAGAACCCAAAAATAAAGCTGCACACCTGCAGCCATCTGATCTTCAACAAAGTCAACAAAAATAGCAGGGGGGAAAGAATTCCCTATTAAATGGTGCTGGGATAGCTGGCTAGCCATATGCAAAAGAATGGAACTGGACCCCTACTTTCACCATATACAAAAAAATAGCTAAAGATGGATTAAAGATTTAAATGTAAGATCTCAAACTACAAGAATCCTACAAGAAAACCTGGAAAATATCATTCTGGACATCAGCCTTGAGAAAGGATTTATGACTAAGTCTACAAAAGCAATTTCAACGAAAACAAAAATTTCCAATGGGACCCAATTAAACTAAAGCACTTCTGCACAGCAAAAGAAACTATCAACAGAGTAAACAGACAACCTATAAAATGGGACAAAATATTCACAAACTATACATCCAACAAAGGTCTAACATTCGAAACCTATACAGAACTTAATTCAACAAAAAATAATAAATAAATAACTCCATTAAGAAATGCACAAGGCTGAGCATGGTGGCTCATGCCTATAATCCCAGCACTTTGGAAGGGTGAGGCGGGCAGATCACCTGAGGTCAGGAGTTCAAGACCAGCCTGACCAACATGGAGAAACCCTGTCTCCACTAAAAATACAAAATTAGCTGGGTGTGGTGGCGGGCACCTGTAATCCCAGCTACTTGGGAGGCCGAGGCAGGAGAATCACTTGAACCTGGGAGGCAGAGGTTGCGGTGAGCCAAGATCACGCCATTGCACTCCAGCCTGGGAAACAAGAGCAAAACTCTGTCTCAAAAAAAAAAAAGAAAAAAAAGAAAAAAAGAACTGTGCAAAAGACATGAACAGATACTTCTCAAAAGACAACATACAAGCAGCCAACAAACATATCAAAAACTTATTCACATCACTAATCATCAGAGAAATGCAACTCGAAACCACAAAGAGATACCATATCACACTAGTCATACTGTCTAAATCAAAAAGTCAAAAAACAACAGATGTTGATGAGGCTGTGGAGAAAGGGGATTGTTTAGACACTGTTGGTGGGAATGTAAGTTAGTTCAATCACTGTAAAAAGTTTGAAGGTTTCTCAAAGAACTTAAAAGAGAACTACCGGCCGGGTGCGGTGGCTCACGCCTGTAATCCCAGCACTTTGGGAGGCCGAGGCGGGCGGATCACGAGGTCAGGAGATCGAGACCATCCCGGCTAAAACGGTGAAACCCCGTCTCTACTAAAAATACAAAAAATTAGCCGGGCGTAGTGGCGGGCGCCTGTAGTCCCAGCTACTTGGGAGGCTGAGGCAGGAGAATGGCGTGAACCCGGGAGGCGGAGCTTGCAGTGAGCCGAGATCCCGCCACTGCACTCCAGCCTGGGCGACAGAGCGAGACTCCGCCTCAAAAAAAAAAAAAAAAAAAAAGAGAACTACCATTTGACCCAGTAAACCCCATCCTCGGTATATATCCAAAAGAAAACAAATCATTCTACCAAAAAGACATATGCAACTGTATGTTCATTGCACCACTATACAGAATAGCAAAGACATGAAACCAACATAGGTGCCCATCAATGGTGGATTGGGTTAAAAAAAATGTGGCATGTATATACCATAAAATACTACACAGCCATAAAATAATGAAAGCATGTCCTTTGCAGCAACATGGATGCAGCTGGAGGCCATTATCTTAAGTGAATTAATGAAAGAATAGAAAACCAAACACCATATGTTCTCACTTATAAATGGGAGCTAAACATTAGATACTCACAGACATAAAGATGGCATCAATAGACACTGAGGACTACTAGAGAGGGAAGGAAGGAAAGGAGCAAGCAAGGGCTGAAAAACTGTTGGGTATTATGCTCAGTACCTGGGTGATGGGATCATTTGTATCTCAGCATCACACAATATACCCAGTTAACAAACCTGCACATGTACCCCCTGAATCTAAAATAAAAGTTGAAAAAAAAAAACGTAAACTATTATATTTAAAGAATATTCAGTGAAACCAGAGTTATTAAATTAATAGTAGTAATAAAGGCCTTGTTGTAAGAAATGAACATTCCATCATCAAGCTGAACAATGGGGGATACTTTAAAGAAACTCCAATAGAAGTAGTTCTCACGATTTGGAGATTGTAATAGTTTCTTATAGAACAGAAACTGGAAACTGACATCAAGACCAACTAATTATACGTAAATATATTTTTAAAATATATAATTTTAATATACAGCATGAATTTAAGCCATCTTCACAAATCCTTTTATCTTATTCATAATGCCCAAATTGAAGGGCCTGACTACTGCTTTATAGGTATACAAAGGTCTAGTAGATCTTATTTGGCTATTAGTTCCCAGTTATTAGATAAGCAAAGAATGGCCAGTTGTTTTCCTTACAGAATTAAGCTTTAATAAGCTTTATTTCCATATGGCATGTTACAGTTTCATAGATCAAAATACCTGCAGTTTCTAAGAAACAAGTTTAAGCTTTAGCATTTATTTCCAGATAAATAGCAGTGTTCTTCAATAAACCAGGTACTAGAAAAAGTTATAGTGCCTCAGTTATATATTCTGCTTTTACTATAAGTGCTTCCAAACTATTTCAGTACTTACTTTCCCCAACTCCTGTGAGAGTAAGAAGTCCGGATCACCAATGCTTAGGTGATTTTCTAGGTTACAAATCTTGTGGAAAGTGGAAAGAGCCTTACTGTGTCACAGACTTGAACAAATAACCCCAGAATGAGTACTACTTAAGAAAGAAGAGAATATCTATTTCAGCCTCTGAACTACTTTTCATTTGCTTCAGCTTTGATTTAAGGCATTTAGTCTAAGGCTGATAATGTTTTCATTCTGGCTAACATGCCATTCCTGAGCCTTGCTTTCCAATGCATTCCTTGTTGTTATTAGCCTCTGCTTTACATGGATGGGAGATTGACTACAATAGGCTCCCACATCATCTAGCTTGTGGCTTAGCTAGTTAGAGGCACTGCAGAAGGTGGGAAGCTAGAGGGAGGAGAAACCAGAATATTTCTCCATGCTCTTTCTGCTCAACCTTGATTATTGAGATTACTATTATTATGCATTAGCTATGTGAAATATATTCACATCACTTACAATTAAATAATCTTTACTGGCAAAATACAAAGATCACTAAATTTATTTATTATTTTTATTTTATTTTTTTTATTTATTTATTTATTTATTTATTTATTTATTTATTTTTGAGACAGAGTCTCACTCTTGTTGCCCAGGCTGGAGTGCGATGGCATGATCTCGACTCACCACAACCTCTGCCTCCCAGTTTCAAGTGATTCTCCTGCCTCAGCCTCCCAGGTAGCTGGGATTACAGGCATGCACTATCACGCCCAGCTAATTTTGTATTTTTAGTAGAGATGGGGTTTCTCCATGTTGGTCAGGCTGGTCTCGAACTCCCAACCTCAGGTGATCTGCCCACCTCGGCCTCCCAAAGTGCTGGCCTCCCAAAGGCGTGAGCCACCGCGCCCAGCCAGAAATCACTAGATTTATTTTTAAATGAAAACAAACTACAAATTGCTATGAAATAATTTAAAATTGCTGTCATCTGAAGTCATTGGGCTTAATCTTTTTATTCCTGGTTTAATTATGAAAAATGACTCATTATCATTTACCATACTGGGTTAGAATTACCTTGTACCTCTATAAGGACACTGGTTTTTTAACCATTTCCCAGAGAACATCTGTACAGTTCTCAAAATATTATTGTAACAACATTAAGAGCATAATTAATAGAAGACCTCTCACTTGTTTGCAAAGCCAAGCAGACAAGTAAGAACAGTAAGAGCAATAAGTTATACAGAAGGCTTGGCACCTTTTTGCAGTTGACTAGTAAGTGAGTCCCTTCCCTACTTTATTTGTAGTTTATAACAAGCCTTGAGAGATTTTTAAAATATTGATTATCTAAATACATAAACTAACTACGTTAATAAAGAAAATATCTGGTAGAAGATATGTTGAAAATAGTTATCAATGTTGCTTAAGGTTTCTATTTGAAATGTCAATTTTTAAGAAAAGGAAGATAAAAAATAAAAGTGTGATGCTAAAAAATTAACAACTGCATAGCAGTGCACAATACACAAAGTAAATTTCAGATCCAAATAGATTATTATCATCCCATGCTCATAAATTACAATTGTGCATAGCATAGGCTAAGCGAGCTCAAAGTTACAATAAATCATGGATCTGGGAGTTGCTACCTGTTCCTTTATCCCAGAATGATGGTGTACATAATAACGGTTATATCGATAATAATCATTTAAATCTATTGGTTTAGAAAACTGCAAAGTCCAGGAGTATATTTGGCTTTAAGCATAGCTTCAGTCATGGCATGAAGCTCAAGTGATGTCATCAGTGTCTGTTTCTCTCCATCACTTGGAGGTACTGATCAAATGATGGCCAGGAGTCCACCATCCATTGGTGTCACTGTGCCCACTGGATCCCAGAATACAACGTGAATTATTCTTTCTGGAATTGGACAAACGATACTCTTGATAGTCTAAGTACAGCTGTAGGGCTGGAAGAACCTTGTACTGAAGGATGCCACATAGCTCACAATTCCCCTGGGCTTATTTATGAAAGAGGAATAATTATAAACATCATGTCTAAGTAAGCATTACTGAAAGCTAAAATCTTCTCTGATTTCACCAAATGATCTGTACAAGAATGTTCATAGCAGCTTTACTAACTGTATCTCTGTATTAGTCCATTCTCACACTGCTATAAAGGACTTCCCTAAGACTAGGTAATCTATAAAGAAAAGAGGTTTAATTGACTCACAGTTCTGCACATCTGGAGAGCCTCAGGAAACTTACAATTATGGCAGAAGTGTAACAGTCTTTCGTTGTCTTAGATAATGCCCAGAGGAGCACAGACACAAAGGTGAGGTTGGAACAAAAGTTTACAGCTGAAAGAAGAAAGCTCTCTTCCAGAAGAGGGGGTCCCAAATAGGAAGACCCACTATGAGTCTGGGGTCCAGGGTTTTTATGGTCTGGGAAGGGGAAGGAATGAGCTTAATCAGTGAGCTGTCTTAGTGAATGTATGACTCAGCTTGGCCTGGTACCAACCAGGAGCTGAAATGATGATTCATAGAGGCTGCTCAGCTTGGCCCAGGACCTGTTAGAAGCTGAAGTGAAAGCCTGGCCCGGGACCAATCAGAGGCTGAAGTGATGAGTCACAGGAGCTGGACTTATAGTCCTAATAAAGGAAAGTAGAGTGCCCACTGGAACCCCCCAGAGTCCACCATGCCCATGCCCACAAAAGGAGAAGAAACTTTTCCTGGGAGCCCACTGACTATACACAGGACAAAGGCATTTCTATGCCAGGCCTTGTTCCCTTGTCTGAGTGAGCTGGAGGTTTGTGCAAGTTTTCAGCCAAATGGGCCGGAGGTTTTTTCTATCTGTGCAGCTGTGGGCATGTCTCCAGGCACAACACCCTGTGCTAGTTCCCTTATCGGTGCCTGCAGCTTGAATTTTTTCCCAGGCTGCTTTTTATGTTATGTGGGGATGAGGAACTGACCCATGGGCCGGGGGCTCTCCAGGACCCTTTCCTTGTTATCTACCTAAGGCAAGCTAACTAACTCCTTTCAGTGGGAGAAGCAGGCACATCTTACATGGTGGCAGGCAAGAGAGGGGGATGAAGGAAGAACTTCCAAACACTTATAAAACCATCAGATCTTATGAGAACTCATTCACTAGTATGAGAACAGCATGGGCGAAACTGCCCCCATGATCCAATCACCTCCCTCCCTCAACACATGGGGATTACAGGTCCCTCCTGTGACACTTGGGAACTACAATTTGAGATGAGATTTGGGTGGGGACACAGAGCCAAATCATATCACTCTCCCAACTAGAAACAACTGAAATACTCGTCAGTAGGAGAATGGATACATAAACTGTGAAAATTCATACAATGGAATACAGATGGTTCCTGACTTAACAATGGTTTGGCTGACTTATGATTTTTGAACTTTAAGGTGGTATGGAAACCATACTTTAAGTACCCATACAACCATTCTGCTTTTCACTTTCAGTACAGTGTCCAATAAATTACATGAGATAGTCAACACTTTATTATCAAGTAGTGTTAGATTTTTGAGCCCAAGTATAGGCTAATGTAAGTTCTCTGAACACGTCTAAGGAAGTGAGCCTAAGCTATGATGTTCAGTAGGTTACGTATATTAAATGCATTTTGACTAACTATATTGTCAACTTACAACAGGTTTATCAGGACATACCCCATCATAAGTCAAGGAGCATCTATACTACATCAGAGGAAAAAAAGAACAAATGGATACTACCTGCAATCATATGGCTCAAACTTTCAGACTTTATGTTAAGTAAATGAAGCCAGGTTAAAAAGAGTACATACTCTATAATTCCATTTATATGAAGTTCAAAAACAGGCAAAACTAATTGATTATAACAAAATCTAGAGTCTTAGTTTCCTTGAAGTCACTGGGTTTTGACTGAGGAGGGGCATGAAGGAAATTTCTGGCTGTTGGAAATGTTACATCTCAATCTAAGTGGTAGTTATTTGGATATGAGTGTAAAAGTTCCTTGAGCTGACACTTAAGAATAGTGTGCTTTACTCACTTTATTATGCATATGCTAAAAGTCAATATTAAAATTTGGTTTAAAATCTGCTCTGAATCATTTGACCATGAACACATTGGCTAATATGCCACATCATAAAATACCACAGTGAAACATCACAGTGATACATCTAAATATGCCACCATCCTGACACTCTTCTTAAACTTATTCATCCTGGATATGCAGTGACCTTTATGTTTTTAAGGTGATATATTTTAAAAGAACATGAATTTTGAATTGTTTACTCAGTTTCAGTAACAGATATGCTCAGACTTGTCTGTGTTCTGAGATTTAGCTGCTGTTATCAGCAACATGTATTTACCAACAAACCAGGTGCAGAGATGCAATAACATGTACAGTATATGCCCACTAGTAATCATATCAGCCAGCAATAATGTAACCTGATGCAACAAATAGATTATTTCAAGTGGGGTAAAATTGAATTTTTATAAATGGAAGCCTACTAAAACTCCATTTTCAAGATTTATTTTTGCTAATTTCTCCATCCAAATCAGCAAAACAAGTAATTAATTAGCTGAAGCCACTTAAATATAATGTTTCTTAAAATATTTCTTTAATAAGATGTAGTGTCTGTTTTATAAGTTTCTCCCTCCTCTTCAATTTGCTTAAAACTACACCATAGGTCAACAAAAGAAAAACACAAGTTTTGATAATCTTTTGTCTTTTCTCTTTCTTTTATTTTTTTTAAGAGATGAGGTCTCGCTCTGTCACCTCGGCTGGAGTGCAGTGGCGCAATCATGGCTCACTGCAGTCTTGACCTCCCAGGATGAAGCTATCCTCCCACCTCAGTCTCCCCAATAGCTGGGACTACAGGCAAATGCCACCAGGCCTGGCTGATTTTTGTATTATTTGTAGACACAGGATCTCACCGTGTTGCCCAGGATGGTCTCCAACTCTTGAGTTCATGCAATCTACCCACCTCAGCCTCCAAAAGTGCTGGGATTTCAGGCATAAGCCACCACACCTGGCCTTTTGTTTTGTCTTTAAGTCTTTGGTAGTGAGTCAATGGAAGAACAGAAAGATCAAGTAATGAAATCATTTAAAGTCAGGCCCATCCAGCTTAAGTCAGATGCAATTTGTTAATATGAGGCTTACAAATCCTGGGTTTTATTAGAAAACGTTGATTACTAGAGGTTTAGGAGTCTGATGATCTTGTTAACAGCCTCCCTATGCTGACCGAGAACTTGGGGAAATTGCAGTCTCTTTTCAGACTACTTTTCAAGAAATTTCTCCCTGGTTGCTTTTCAGAACTAAATGGTTTCTTTGCTTGAAAAATTGAACAAACAACTGAATTCTGGCCTTGCAAAGTTCTCTTCTGTTTTCAGGTTGGTGGCATTTCGGCTACAGTATGTCATCTGCTTTTTGAGACTCTGATATCTCCCAGAACATCCTTGAAAATAAGATCACATATTTTTATAAAAAGGAATGATGTGTGATATTGAACCTGTTCTTGCTCATGCTAGATTAAAGGAAACCTGTTCAATAATTCATGATGACCTGATATGTATTAAAATTTCACTAAGTACAATATCATTTTGACTCTCTTTTAGAAAAAGAATATATTTTATTCCATATAAGGGCCAAAACATATTGTTATGTATTGACACTGAAATATAATAGGCAACTTTTACAATGCTAGGCACATAGGAAGTGCCTAATACATTATCATTGATTGACTGACATGTAAATGAACTGTGTGATTCTTTATGATCTTTCACAGATTGGGAAGCTCTGAAAACACATTACTTATTCAAAAAAGAACTGAAAGATCAGTCCCTGAATGAGCAGCTCTATTGTTCTGTCCAACTGTCTTTGGCCTAGGTGAGAGGATATTTAACTTAGATTTAACTGGTCTTCAGATGTGTCTACTTGAACTTCCATGTCACAAATGGAGCAGAAAGCAAGATATGCACAGAGCAGAAAAGACAAGTCAATATCTGACCTCCAAAATCAATTCAGGGAAACATTTTCAGTACTTAACTCTGTATTGTTCAAGTTCCTGTGCAAAGAAAATAAACTAGGCCTTCTCCTGGCTCTGTAGGAGGTCATAATGCATAGAGTTCTAGTCTCTAGAATAAATCTATCTATTGAAGAACAAGGTGATTGTAATACATTAGTAGTTCTCCCCTTATATCCAGGGTTTTGTTTTTTATAGTTTCAACTACTCATGGTCAACCAGAGTCTGGAAACAGGTGATTACAGTACAATAATGTATTTTGAGAGGGAGAAACAGACCACATTCACATAACTTTTATTACAGTATATTAATTGTTCTATTTTATTATTAGTTATTTTTGTTAATATCTTAACAGGCCTAATTCGTAAATTAAATTTTATCATAGTTTATGTATGTATAGAAAAAGACATCGCATATATAGAGTTTGGTACTATCCACGGATTCAAGAATTCACTAGGGATTTTGGACTGTTTCCCCACAGATAAGGGGAGACTACTGTACACAGTGTTCAAAGATGAATATCCCTTCAGGTTGAAGCTGAATGAATGCATATTTGGAGTGAACAGAGATAGAGATATGAGAGTACTTATTTATATATCCTGATCTAGAAAGCAGAAAGCTGTTGGACTGCTTTCTCTTCTTTCTTTTTTTTTTTTTTTTTTTGAGACAGGGTCTCATGGAGTGCAGTGGCACAATCACCGCTCACTGCAGCCTCAAACTCCTGGACTCAAGCAGTCCTCCTACCTCAGCCTTCTGAGTAGCTGGGACTACAGATGTGTGCCACCATGCCTGGCTAATTTTTTTATTTTTTTATAGACAGGATCCCACTTTGTTGTCCAGGCTGGTCTCGAACTCATGTGCTCAAGCAATCCTCTGGTCTTGGCCTCCCAAAGTGTTGGGATTACAGGCATGAACCACCATGTCCAGCTGGGCTTTTTTTTTTTAATATCATTTTGCTTGTGTTGGTTTTTGCCCTTTAATTTCAAGTTAGTCTTTATGCTCTACCAATGTTCAAGAGGTATTTTTCCGATAAGAAAGCTTGCTAATTCAATATTATTAGTTTATTTGAGTTTGATATACCATCTGTAGCATATTATAATGCTAATTTTTTTTCAAAGTTCAATTTACATACACTGGCCAAGGTCTTTGTGACTTCAGTAATGCTGACACCTTTGGGTAAATTGGAAAAGGATATAGAAAAAATCCTCTAAACATTGGCTTCCTGAAATTGAGTAAATTTCATGAATTATAAGTAGTTATTCCAATATTTGAATAGGTAACTACATAAATATTTCTGACTGTCTCACTGACACCATTAGTATTGAGTCAGTTGTGGTTCATCAGGAAAACAGAGACCACCCTGTGTATCATGGATCTTAAGGATGCACATAATAAAGAATTAGGGGTTTATACTTCTGTTGGAAAACAGAAGAACAGAGATAGAGAAGCTTCTACCAACATTTAGGGGTCCTGCCTCTGAAAGTCAAAGAAGTCATCTCAGCCTAAAGCACTGAAGTGGTTGGTTGAAGGTCTTATCTGGAAGTTGCTGCAATTCTCTGGTGTCTCTAGAAAGGTCTTATGAACAAACTCGGACTAAAACCACTAAACTGGTGGTTCTCAAGCACTCACCTCTGACCACACATCTGGCTGCAACCATATCCAGAGAATAATTATTTTCTTCCAAGTTTCTTTCATTGGCAAATTCAAACCCAGGACTACTCAGGGAAGGGGATTCTGGGATATACAGTTCCCAGTTTCTTTGCTGAAATGTAGAGGAGACTTTGGTTCCCATCTAAAAGAGTGTTGGGTGCACAATGGACCTCAGGTGATCCTGCGGAAGAGCTCCCAATTTGTGCATCACTTTCTAAAATAGTGCTCACAATAAGGTGTTATTACCTTAAAAGGACACTTGTGTTCCATTTAAAAGTTGGAAGAATTCTGTAAGAAAAAAGAAACGTGCGATATTTTAACCCTGGCTTGGAAATTAATAATGAACAATAGCACAGAAAAGGCAGTAAAGAGCTAGCAGAAAACAAAACAAAACGTGTATTTATTTAATCCAACATTTCCACACTTTCTGGATGAAGGAACGCTTATGTATGTTCTGCAGCGCTTGCTAACAACATTCCACAGTACACTTTTATATAAACCCTATTCTAGAGGATGCTTTTGGCATGCTTCAAGGTTACTGAACAAATCTACAGTTAAATGAAATATGCTGACTAAATGTATTTATCTCTTCTTCCTCCTGGCACTCTACTGAAATCACAGTATTAGGATCACTAAGGCATAAACCCCCAATACAAAAGAAATCAGAAAAAAACATCAGAGATGACAGACTTCAGCAGTTCTGAACGATAGATAATACATGTAAAATTAGTAACTGAGGAAATGCCCTTTAAAATATTTAACAACCAGGATGACCTGGGCACCAGCCAGTCAGAAGAGAAATCAGAAGAGTTTAAAGCTGAGCCTTGGAGGCTCACTGATGGGTCAAATATTAACCCACTCATCAGTGGTTCGATGGTGGGGAGTTGAAGGCTGAGTTTGAAGCTAAAGACTATTTTTTAGGCTCAGAGGATGTGATCTCTATTTTCATTGCTATGCTCTTAATCCTTTATTTCTTTTTCTTTTAAAAAAGACCCCACTTTACTCAGGATTCTTGACTTTAGTTTGAACACATAAGACAAAAAGTAACATTGCTATTAATGATCTTTAAAGATCATTAGAATTGAATACTTGGCATTTTCTTGGTGCTGATTCACAATAAATTAAAGACATTATTAGATTCTCTAGTTGCTTGTTGAAGGACAACAAAGGTGAAGGGTTAAGTGAGGTGTTAGTCAAAAGTTAAATTACTTTGCTATTCTCTGTATTCAAGATACTAATTTTTATCTCAACAACTATGCTAATTCTATTTACAAAAGACAATGGTTTTCTCTCTTTTCTCTGACTTTTTAAATTTTATTCTTCCTTCATGAACAAATTTAAATTCTATTTTATTTGTAAAAGCTTTTCCACTAATTCTTAGCCATATTGACCTTTCATTATTCTGCCATGCTACAGTGCTTACTTTCTGTGTCACACATTTTGGCTTATAACAAAGATGATCTTGAGCTATTATCTATGCTTTTCATCTGATGAACCAGTTCACCTGTGAGATTGTGAACTCCTTGAGAGAGAGAATATGTCTTGTCAAAAATATTTACTGGTGTATTAATCAGGTCCAACCAGAGAAACAGAACTAGAAGGAGATATATTTATTACAAGGAACTGGCTAGTACAATTGCAGGGACTGGCCAAGTAAGTTCAAAGTCCATAGGCAGAAGACAAGCTGGCTGGAACCACACAAGGCATGAACTGAAGCTTCCTGTTCACAGGTAATGGTCAGAAAGAAAGATCCACAGAGAAGGGAGAACAACTACAGACCCAGCAGCTATCTGGAGTCCTTGACTTAGGAAAAGCCTAAGTCCTCTTCTAAAAGCTTTCCAAATAATTCAGATTCACCCTGAATAATCTTCTTCTTCATTAACTTAAAGTCTGATTAGAAACTTTAATCACATCTGCAAAATATCTTCACAGCAGTGTCTAGATTCGTATTTTAATAACTGGAAGAAGTTATATGTACGTTACAAAATGACCATTGCCTCTCTATTTTCTCATGAGAGAATAACCTTTGTAACCTGCCCTAGCCAGACACATATAGGGAATCCTGGGGACTATAGTTCAGCCCAGTCAAACTAACAAGTCAAAAATCTATCACACTAAGCATCTAGTATATAGGAAATAGAGAACGTTTTTGCTGCCCTTAAAGAAGAAATAAAGTCCTATATAGTTATTGACTATCTCCCCAAATGCCTGGCTCTATGCTAGATATGTAACAGGTACACAATAAATACCTAAAGAAATAGGTGGCCTTGGCTAATTTCTACCCAATTTGATTTTGATTGATTTGAGTACTAAACAGGTTGATGAGTACATTGTTTTGTCTGCATAAAATGATTAATGGGAAGAAATAGTTGAGTTAATGGCAGCACTGTGTTTCCTCTCATTTAGTTCTGTTAAGAAGCACATGCTAAATGGTAATTTTTGAAAATAGCACAAAATGCCTTTATTATGTTTGATAGAGCATTTATTCAGCAAACCATTGCAAATTCACAGCACAAGCCAGCAATAAGAATTATCAAAATAACTGAAGAAATACTGATAACCCATCCTCAAGGTAGCACTGTTTACTCATTCATTTAATAAATATTAATCAAGTGCCTTCTATGTGCTGTCATGGTTCCATGTGCTGGTGATACAGTTGAGGACAAAACAGTTTCTACACACATAGAGCTTGTTATGTGGGAGGTGACAAAAAATTTAAAAATGAACAATTTAATATATAAAATGTCAGTTAATCAGAGCAGATTCAATAACTTAGGGACTGAAATTTACACAATTTTAATGGTCTTGAGTTAAAGAAAAATAAATCATAAAATCAATGAATACTAACAAATGAATTAGATTGAATTAGATATATGCACTAATACTTACGTAGAGTGGGAAAATAAATTATAAATTTTACAAACCTGATGTGATGATTAATTATTGGTGCCAACTTGACTGGGCTAAGGGACGCCCTGAGAGTTGGTAAAACACTCTTTTTGGATATATCTATGAAGGTGTTTTTGGAAAAGATTAGCATTTGAATAGCTAACTTCAGCAAAAAAGATCTATCCTCATCAATGTGAGTAGATGTCATTCAATCCCTTGAGGGCCCAGATAGAAGACAAAGGCAAAAAAAGGAAAAATTTACTTTCTCTCTTCTGGAGCTGGAGCATCCATCTTTTCCTGACCTTGGACACGAGAATTCTAGATTCTCAGGCCTTTGGACTCCAGGACCTAATATCAGTGACCCCTTCGGTTCTCAGGCCTTTGACAATGGACTCATAATTCTAACATCAGCTCCTCAAGTTCTCAGGCCTTTAGACTAAGATTGGATCACACCACCAGCTTCCCCGGTAATTTTTTATGTCTGGTGGAAAAAAATTGTTTCCCATAGATTCACTTCTGGCGTTTTATGCTTCAAACCTTGTTTCTTCCCCACTACCCTCATAATTCCTACACCAGGCACTGTGAACACACTCCAATTGTCCTAAGACTTCTGGCCCTGCCCCTATAATCCAAAATGTCCAGTGTATCCCCAACTCAACTTCCCCTTGGTTAGACCTTAACAATGCCTGCTGCTATTCCAATACCACCTGGAAAGAAGGGAAATATGATACATGATTATTGTTTAGAAAATAAACTTACTTTTATAATTTTTTATAAAAATGTATGGCCAAATGAGAAGCCCAGAATAAATAAAGGCCAAAGTTTGTAGGACAGTTTAGCAGAAAATTTACTCTGTTATCTAAAATTTTTATTGATTTATGCTGTAATATCCCCCAATTCTTCCCTGAGTACTGCTCATTTTATTGATCTTCATCTGTAAAATAATTGCTTGCAGTATATTGTTGAATCCTGTACTGCCAGACTTTTTATATGGTGGGATGCCTACTGGGTTAAGTCAGTGTCAAATCCAGGAAATTCACATCATTAGTACCTTTGAGTAGAGTAACGTATTTGAAATATTAAGTCATGTGTAAAACACTATCATGCATTTTTTCCATTTTGCTTCCCCATGCCACACTAGCTCAGGTGCCCTGTCTTCTTCCATACTGACTGAGAATAGCTATATTTTGTGAGGGCTATGGCAGAGTCAAATGGGGGGAAATAAAGTATCTTCCTAGCTTTGCTTTCCAAAAGCCTAAAGTCCTAAGATGACCTGGTGAACTGAGACTACTCCTAACCTCAGAAATGAGAGAAATAATAAAAGAGAGTGGTGCCTTGAGTCCCTAGACAGAAAAGACTCCCCCACTAAAGAAGGGAGAGAGAGATGGAGGAGACATAGTGAGGGCGTAGGTATCAGAGATGAGGGCTGAACAGGTGTGGAAGGGTGACATGGGGCTCCCATTTATGGGCTCTGTGTCCTGTTTCTAGGCAAAGCCCTGGAGTGTCACCAAGATTGCAGACAAAAAACATGAATAGAGAATCTAGGCAGTTGGGTGTCAGCACCATGGTGATTTCAGTGCCTCCACCCAGCATGGGATCCCATGACCACACAGACCACTCATGAAGCCACACAAACAGAAGTGAGGGATGTCAGGGGTGACATGTGTGAACTGAGAACTAGATAGGATGGACGCCAAAGCAGATATTTGTGAAGATAAATGGCAAGTAGAGTCCACTCAGCTAAGAAGGAGTAGAGAGGATTCTTCAACTGAACAGGATTAAATGATGAAAAACTAAAAATAGCCATCAAATCCAGGCACAAAATAAAGAACTGTAACCGGAATTATAAAAAATTTTAAATAGAATTAATAATTAAATAAGAATAATTTTCAAAGAATTACATGTATATGTATGTGTACAACAAAAACACACACACATGCATATCTTGCAGAGCATATTTCATACACCTGGTTATTAGAGCCCAAGCCATTCTGTTGGAGGCATTCAAAAAATGGCTTTTTCTAAGAAAAATCAAAGAATGTACTAATGAGAAAAGTCTCAAAATTCTCAAGAAAATTCTGTATGACTTTCAGTAACTCAGATAAGTTTTTAGTCATGGAGAAAGACACTAACATTAACATATTCTGGGTCTTTTTCTACTATTATTTATATTTCACACATTAAGTAGGATAGATGTGTTTAAGTATTAATCTATGACCTGTATTATAAAAGCTGTGTCTTCATTACAAACACCTAACTTTAAAATTGTCATTAACAAACTAGTCAGGTTTTTGAAATTATCTGACATAAACATAATAAGAACCTTTAGGTTGACTGTAAATATATTAGCTATATTAGAGATTAAATATGGCTATTTTTATGAGGTCTATAATATTTAGTCCTTAACTTTGAAAAAGTTTTATAGAACATTAGAACATCATCTTCAAATTGGCAAATATGATAGGTCACTAACTGAACATGTCTAATTTGGCTAATAAAGGAATATATTGTTCATTTTTTCAGAATGATAGTTACTATTTCAGACCAATTAGATGTACTTACTATTCTCTTCCTCCCCTCCAATATATTGTCCCCACAGACCCTTATTTAGGAGAGGTTTGCTGAGGGAAATATTTACACCTAAGATCGTAAGGGTACAAGTATACACAATTGAAAATTGTTGCCAGGCGCGGTGGCTCACGCCTGTAATCCCAGCACTTTGGGAGGTCGAGGTGGGCAGATCACGAGGTCAGGAGATCAAGACCATCCTGGCTAACACGGTGAAACCCCGTCTCTACTAAAAATACAAAAAATTAGCCGGGCGTGGTAGTGGCGCCTGTATTCCCAGCTACTCAGGAGGCTGAGACTGGAGAATGGCGTGAACCCGGGAGATGGAGCTTGCAGAGAACCGAGATCGCGCCACTGCACTCCAGCCTGAGCGACAGAGCGAAACTCCGTCTCAAAAAAAAAAAAAAGGAAAGGAAAAAAAGAACAGTGTTTTATTTTTTTCTGACCTATTTATTTTTATTTTAAGTTTTAGGGTACATGTGCAGGATGTGTGCAGATTTGTTACATAGGTAAATGTGTGCCATGGTGGTTCGCTGCACCTATCTACCTGAAAATTGTTAAATTTGAATAACAATAGTCAAGAGTACAGTAGAAAATCTCAGTTTGGAAAAGTTTACAATTTTAGTTTGTAGTCACCCAAAACCTCAATATTATTTAAAATGCAGTCGTAGGATGCTAAGTAGAGAATTGGGAATAAGAAAAAAGCACGGTAAGTAAAAAATTCATGGACTTTCCTCTTCTTTATTCTACTATATTGTCTCTTTTCATGTGCCTCTTTAGCCACCTGGATTGCTTCAGGGCTTCCTGTTCTTTGAATTATGACAGAGAATTATTCACCCTCCAGCAGCCGACCCTGGAAATAGATGCATTGGAGAAGGGTCCAAGGAGCGGAAAACTGGGCTACTTGCCTCTAGCAAATAACGTTTTGTAAGAATCCAAATTTGCACCAGACTGGGAGAGGGGATAAGGCTGGGTGGAGAGATTAGGGGCTGAGATTTGAGGGCTGTACATAAACTGTAATTCGAAGTTAAATCTCATTATCATTTTCAAGGTCTAATAAAGCAGAGGAAGAAAATGTGAACTAAATTACTCATTAAATTCTCCCAGAGAATCAAGTGTGGCTCTCCTGCAAAGTTCCTACTCTCTAAAATTTTATGTCAAATATAAACACAAAAATAAATACAAGGTAAGGGAATTATTTTCTTTTAACATAGTAAAGACTAAAAGAAACTATCAGACAGGCTGTCAATGACAAACAGTGCACAAAACATGCCGGCAAAGCAACTGATAGTCACACACATAACACTTCCTCATTTAGACATTCAACAAATATTTTTAAGCACTGACTGCTAGAATGCAATGATAAATAAGAAAGATGACGTCCTTAATTTTCATTAAATGTATAGTTGAATCTATGCGTGTGTGTGTATGTTTTGGAGGAGAGCAGAGATTAATCAAATAATTTAATCATTCATTTAACTAATATTTATCAAATGGCTACAATATTCCAGGTTTGTTCTACATATTGACAATATACAAAGTTCCTGTCCCTGTGATGGCTTACATTCTAATGAGGGAGACTATAAGTGAACAAATAAATTTTTAAGATAATGGTAAATCCTATCGAGGAAAAAAAAAAAAAGAAGCAAGGGAGATTGTGTGAGTTATGTGTGAGTGCATCCTATCGACGATTTTAAGGTTTAGTCGTTTAGAACAGGCCCCTCTGGGGAGACGACATTTTAGCAGAAACCTGAATAAAGTGAGGATATGAGCCATGAGAATACTTAAGAATAAAACATTTTAAGAAGAGAGAATTTCAAGAGCACAGGCCCTGAGCTGGAAATGTGCTTGCATGTTTAAGCAATAGCAGGAATGCCAAATTTATTGAGCACACTATATACTGAGCTCTATGTGCCAGGGATCAAAGATCCACACGAGTGAAAGCAAGTCCTAGCCATCAAGGTGTATATTCTTCAAGGATTACAACAGAAACAGATACAAATTTCCCCCACCCAGCCATCTCTGGATAGTTGGAAACATTTTCTCAGAAAGTCTCTGATAAAGTTAACATGTTGAACGAATATTGTATAAGAAATCAAAATCTGAAGAACTGAGCCAGTTCTAAAGGAAAGCCATGACCATTGTAGGCAGAAGTGTTCTAGATATGAATGTCATCAGCAGGAGAAATGTAGAGGGGCATGGAAAGGAGGGGGGAGAACATATGCACTTATAGAAAATATATGATGAATAAAATGGCACTACCACCTCCACTAGGAAGTAAATAAACAGCAGCAAAGTCAGTTAAAATGGTGTCATGTAAACACTAGTGCTTCATTACCTAAATATCACACCCAAATGTTTATACAGGTAACTTCATTGTCAATGACTGGTGTCAGTTAATGGGACTATTAAGACAAAAATGTTTTTAAAAATTCCCAAGATTTCTGTTATTAGCAACCTAAAACATACAGTTTTATGTTGAAATATACCAGCTTTAGGTATTTTAGATAATTTTATTAGAAATTATTCTACTTTTGGCCAGATGCAGTAGCTCATGTCTGTAGTCCCAGGGCTTTGGTAGGCCTAGACAGGAGGGGGTAGCTTGAAGCCAGGAATTTGAGACTAGCTTGAACAACATAGTGAGACCTCATCTCTCCAAAAAAAATAATAATAAAATCAAAAAAGTTAGCTGGGCATGGCGATGAACACCTGTAGTCCTAGCAACTCAGGAGGCTGAGATGGGAGGATTGCTTGAGCCTAGGAGGTGGAGTCTGCAGTGAGCCAGGATTGTGCCACTGCACTCCAGCCTGGGCACCAGAGTGAGACCATGTCTAAAATCTGTGAGATCCTGTTTCAAAAAGGAAATAATAAAAGAAATTATTCTACATTCGAGCTAGCCAAGTAATCTATCACCTTCCAAGAAAATTGAAGGTTTTTGAAGATTGTCATAAATAATCGATTCCTTGATCAACGGGTACATATACCTTTGCCATATCCATGTACAAAAATACAACAGAATATGTTAAAAAGTTGTGATATAAAGGGAATGACGATGCTGAGGTTATTCATCCCTTTTATTTCTAGGATACCTGAAATTACTAGGGCAAGATTTTGTGCAAAGGCAATAGAACCGAGGAGAGTGGATACAAATTTGAATAAATTTTCTGTTAACATTATTACATCAGTTTTAAAAATTAAACTGTAGATAATTTATAATAGCCTTAGATGTTTTTCTTTATTAGTTAGGGCAAATTAAATTTCAATGCATCTGGGATTTCTTAGAATTAAAAGTTAGTATATTCTGAAACAGCCATTTCTAACAAACAGTCGACACAGAACTGTAGCTACAGAAACCCACTACGTAGGTTAGGAATTTAATTAAACTGCAACAAAGCCAAGGGCAAGAATCGCAAATTCATACTTTCTGAACTTTACAGATTTACACCAATCTAGCCTTTTAAATTAACATTGGCACATTATCCAATGCATAAGAAATCCATCAACTGCCTATGTCTGTCTTTATATCCAGTACGTAGCCATAGGAAGAAAAATCAAAATCAAATGTTAAGTACCTACTATATGCTAACTTCTCTGTAAGGTGTTCTATGGGTTCTTTGCCTCTTAAAGATGTATAACAAAACAGCTTCCAAAAATGATTTTTGACACATTTGTTCTTCACCTGCTGTTCTAACTTAAGCTATCAGAAATAATACCCCAAAAGAGAGAGTAAACCTGAAACATCATGATCCTAATCATCTACTCTTATACCTTGCAACTGAAAGCAAATAGCCTGTTAGGGGCAAATGAAATTTCTTCTGTGCAGACAAGAACCCTACACCTAAATATGTAACTTTCTTAGACACATTTATATAATCAAGTTAAAAAAATATAAACGATTATGACAGAATCCACTATTTATATCTGGCATTTTTGTTTATGAATGTATATAAGCAATTCTCATGTATACAGGTAGACTCATACCTTTAACTTTATTCATTCAGAATATTAAATCATAGAATTGTTCTCCATCTAAATCCCTTTTATTATTATTATACTTCAAGTTCTAGGCTACATGTGCACAATGTGCAGGTTTGTTACATATGTGTACATGTGCCGTGTTGGTTTGCTGCAAACATTAACTTCTCATTTGCATTAGGTATTTCTCCTAATGCTATCCCTCCCGCATCCCCTCACCCCACGACAGACCCTGGTGTGTGAGGTCCCCGGCCCTGTGTCCAAGTGTTCTCATTGTTCAATTCCCACCTATGAGTGAGAATATGCGGTGTTTGGTTTTCTGTCCTTGCAATAATTTACTCAGAATGACACTTTCCAGCTGCATCCATGTTGCTACAAAGGACATGAACTCATCCTTTTTAATGGCTGCATAGTATTCCATGGTGTATATGTGCCACATTTTCTTCATCCAGTCTATCATTGATGGACATTTGGGTTGGTTCCAAGTCTTTGCTATTGTTAACAGTGCCTCAATAAATATACATGTGCCTGTGTCTTTATAGTAGCATGATTTATAATCCTTTGGGTATATACCAAGTAATGGGATCGCTGGGTCAAATGGTATTTCTAGTTCTAGATCCCTGAGGAATCGCCACACTGTCTTCCACAATGGTTGAACTAGGTTACACTCCCACCAACAGTGTAAAAGCATTCCTATTTCTCCACATCCTCTCCAGCACCTGTTGTTTCCTGACTTTTTAATGATCGCCATTCTAACTGGTGGGAGATGGTATCTCATTGTGGTTTTGATTTGCATTTCTCTGAGGACCAGTGATAATGAGCATTTTTTCATGTGTCTGTTGGCTGCATAAATGTCTTCTTTTGAAAAGTGTCTGTTCATATCCTTTGCCCACTTTTTGAAGGGGTTGTTTTTTTCTTGTAAATTTGTTGGAGTTCATTGTAGATTCTGGATATTAGCCCTTTGTCAGATGAGTAGACTGCAAAAATTGTCTCCCATTCTGTAGGTTGCCTGTTCACTCTGATGGTAGTTTCTTTTGCTGCGCAGAAGCTCTTTAGTTTAATTAGATCCCATTTGTCAATTTTGGCTTTTGTTGCCATTACTTTTGGTGTTTTAGTCATGAAGTCCTTGCCCATGCCTATGTCCTGAATGGTATTGCCTAGGTTTTCTTCTAGGGTTTTTATGGTTTTAGGTCTAACACGTAAGTCTTTAATCCATCTTGAATTAATTTTTGTATAAGGTGTAAGGAAGGGATCCAGTTTCAGCTTTCTACATATGGCTAGCCAATTTTCCCAGCACCATTTATTAAAGAGGGAATCTTTTCCCCGTTTCTTGTTTTTGTCAAGTTTGTCAAAAATCAAATGGTTGTAGATGTGTGGTGTTATTTCACAACTGTTCTGTTCCATTGGTCTATATCTCTGTTTTGGTACCAGTACCATGCTGTTTTGGTTACTGTACCCTTGTAGTATAGTTTGAAGTCAGGTAGTGTGATGCCACCAGCTTTGCTCTTTTGGCTTAGGACTGTCTTGGCAATGTGGGCTCTTTTTTGGTTGCATATGAACTTTAAAGTAGTTTTTTCCAATTCTGTGAAGAAAGTCATTGGTAGCTTGATGGGGATGGCATTGAATCTATAAATTACTTTGGGCAGTATGGCCATTTTCACGATATTGATTCTTCCTATCCATGAGCATGGACTATTCTTCCATTTGTTTGTGTCCTCTTTTATTTCGTTGAGCAGTGGTTTGTAGTTCTCCTTAAAGAGGTCCTTCACATCCCTTGTAAGTTGGATACCTAGGTATTTTATTCTCTTTGTAGCAATTGTGAATGTGAGTTCACTCATGATTTGGCTCTCTGTTTTTCTATTATTGGTGTATAAGACTGCTTGTGATTTTTGCACATTGATTTGTATCCTGAGACTTTGCTGAGAAGTTGCTGATCAGCTTAAGGAGATTTTGGGCTAAGATGATGGGGTTTTCTAAACATACAATCATGTCATCTGTAAACAGGGACAATTCGACTTCCTCTTTTCCTAACTGAATATACCTTTATTCTTTCTCTTGCCTAATTGCCCTGGCCAGAACTTCCAACACTATGTGGAATAGGAGTGGTGAGAGTGGGCATCCCGGTCTTGTGCCAGTTTTCAAAGAGAATGCTTCCAGTTTTTGCCCATTCAGTATGATACTGGCTGTGGCTTTGTCATAAATAGGTCTTATTATTTTGAGATACATTCCATCAATACCTAGTTTATTGAGAGTTTTTAGCATGAAGCGCTGTTGAATTTCGTCAAAGGCCTTTTCTGCATCTATTGAGAGAATCATGTGGTTTTTGTCTTTGGTTCTGTTTATGGGATGGATTACGTTTATTGATTTGCGTATGTTGAACCAGCCTTGCATCCCAGGGATGAAGCCAACTGGATCTTGGTGGATAAGCTTTTTGATGTGCTGCTGGATTCAATTTGCCAGTATTTTACTGAAGATTTTCACATTGATGTTCATCAGGGATATTGGTCTAAAATTATCTTTTTTTGTTGTGTCTCTGCCCGGCTTTGGTATTAGGATGTTGCTGGCCTCATAAAATGAGTTAGGAAGAATACCCTCTTTTTCTATTGCTTGGGATAGTTTCAGAAGGAATGGTACCAGCTGCTATTTGTACCTCTGGTAGAATTCAGCTGTGAATCCATCTACTGCTCTTTGTACCTCTGGTAGAATTCAGCTGTGAATCCATCTGGTCCTGGACTTTTTTTGGTTGGTAGGCTATTAATTATTGCCTCAATTTCAGAGCCTGTTATTGGTCTACTCATCAATTCAACTTCTTCCTGGTTTAGTCTTGGGAGGGTGTATGTGTCCAGGAATTTATCCATTTCTTCTAGATTTTCTAGTTTATTTGCATAGAGGTGTTTATACTGTTCTCTGATGGTAGTTTGTATTTCTGTGGGATCAGTGGTGACATCCCCTTTATCATTTTTTATTGCATCTATTTGATTCTTCTCTCTTTTCCTCTTTATTAGTCTAGCTAGCAGTCTATCAATTTTGTTGATCTTTTCAAAAAACCAGCTCCTGGATTCATTGATTTTTTGAAGGGTTTTTTGCATCTCTATCTCCTTCAGTTCTGCTCTGGTCTTAGTTATTTCTTGCCTTCTTCTAGCTTTTGAATTTGTTTGCTCTTGTTTCTCTAGTTCTTTTAATTGTGATGTTAGGGTGTCAAAATGTCGAAATTAGATCTTTCTTGCTTTCTCTTGTGGGCATTTAGTGCTATAAATTTCCCTCTACACACTGCTTTAAATGTGTCCAAGAGATTCTGGTACATTGTGTCTTTGTTCTCACTGGTTTCAAAGAACATCTTTATTTCTGCCTTCATTTTGTTATGTACCCAGTAGTCATTCAGGAGCAGGTTGTTTAGTTTTCATGTAGTTGTGCAGTTTTGAGTGAGTTTCTTAATCCTGAGTTATAGTTTGATTGCACTGTGGTCTGAGAGACACTTTGTTGTGATTTCTCTTCTTTTACATTTGCTGAGGAGTGCTTTAATTCCAACTATGTGGTCAGTTTTGGAGTAAGTGTGATGTGGTGCTGAGAAGAATGTATATTCTGTTGATTTGGGGTGGAGAGGTCTGTAGATGTCTATTAGGTCTTCTTGGTGCAGAGCTGTGTTCAAGTCCTGGATATCCTTGTTAACCTTCTGTCTCATTGATATATCTAATATTGACAGTGGGGTGTTAAAGTCTCCCATGATATTTCTGTGGGAGTCTAAGTCTCTTTGTAGGTCTCTAAGGACTTGTTTTATGAATCTGGGTGCTCCTATATTGGGTGCATATAGATTTAGGATAGTTAGCTCTTCCTGTTGATTTGATCCCTTTACCATTATGTAATGGCCTTCTTTCTCTCTTTTGATCTTTGTTGGTTAAAAGTCTGTTTTATCAGAGACTAAGATTGCAACCCCTCCTTTTTTTTTGCTTTCCGTTTGCTTCGTCGATCTTCCTCCATCCCTTTATTTTGAGCCTAAGTGTGTCTCTGCACGTGAGATGGGACTCCTGAATACAGCACACTGATGGGTCTTAACTCGTTATCCAATTTGCCAGTCTGTGTCTTTTAACTGGGGCATTTAGCCCATTTACATTTAAGGTTAATACTGTTATGTGTGAATTTGATCCTGTCGTTATGATGTTAGCTGGTTATTTTGTCCATTAGTTGATGCAGTTCCTTCCTAGCATCAATGGTCTTTACAATTTGGCATGTTTTTGCAGTGGCTGGTACCGGTTTTTCCTTTCCATGTTTAGTGCTTCCTTCAGGAGCTCTTGTAAGGCAGGCCTGGTGGTGACAAAATCTCTCAGCATTTGCTTGTCTGTAGAGGATTTTATTTCTCCTTCACTTATGAAGCTTAGTTTGGCTGGATATGAAATTCTGGGTTGAAAATACTTTTCTTTAAGAATGTTTAATATTGGCCCCCACTCTCTTCTGGCTTGTAGGGTTTCTGCCAAGGGATCCACTGTTAGTTTGATGGGCTTCCCTTTGTGGGTAACCTGACCTTTCTCTCTGGCTGCCTTTAGCATTTTTTCCTTCATTTCAACCTTGGTGAATCTGACAATTATATGTCTTGGAGTTGCTCTTCTCAAAGATTATCTTTGTCATGTTCTCTGAATTTCCTGCATCTGAATGTTGGCCTGCCTTGCTAGGTTGGGGAAGTTCTCCTGGATAATATCCTGAAGAGTGTTTTCCAGCTTGGTTCCATTCTCCCTGTCACTTTCAGGTACACCAGTCAAATGTAGATTTGGTCTTTTCACATAGTCCCATATTTCTTGGAGGCTTTGTTCATTTCTTTTTACTCTTTTTTCTCCAAACTTCTCTTCTCACTTCTTTTCATTAATTTGATCTTCAATCACTGATACTCTTTCTTCCACTTGATCAAATCGGCTACTGAAGCTTGTGCATGTGTCGCGTAGTTCTTGTGCCATGGTTTTCATCTCTGTTAGGTCATTTATGGTCTTCTCTACACTGTTTATTCTAGTTAGCCATTCATCTAATCTTTCTTCAAGGTTTTTAGTTTCCTTGCAATGGGTTCGAACATCCTCCTTTAGCTCGGAGAAATTTGTTATTACCGATTTTCTGAAGCCTACTTCTGTCAACTCATCAAAGTCATTCTCCGTCCTGCTTTGCTCCGTTTCTGGCAAGGAGCTGTGATCCTTTGAAGGAGAAGGAGAGCTCTGGTTATTAGAATTTTCAGCTTTTCTGCTCTGGTTTCTCCCCACCTTTGTGGTTTTATCTACCTTTGGTCTTTGATGATGGTGACCTACAGATGGGGTTTTGGTGTGGATGTCCTTTTTACTGATGTTGATGCTATTCCTTTCTGTTTGTTAGTTTTCCTTCTAACAGTCAGGTCCCTCAGCTGCAGGTCTGTTGGAGTTTGCTGGAGGTCCACTCCAGACCCTGTTTGCCTGGGTATCACCAGCAGAGGCTGCAGAACAGCAAATATTGCAGAACAGCAAATATTGCTGTCTGATCCTTCTTCTGGAAGCTTCGTCTCAGAGGGGCACCCAGCTGTATGAGGTGTCAGGCGTACCCTACTGAGAGATGTCTCCAAGTTAGACTACATAGGGGCAGGGACCCACTTGAGGAGGCAGTCTGTCCATTCTCAGAGCTCAAACACCATGCTGGAGAACCACTGCTCCCTTCAGAGCTGTCAGACAGGGACGTTTAAGTCTGCAGAAGTTTCTGCTATCTTTGTTCAGCTATGCCCTGCCCCTTGAGTTGCAGTCTACAGAGGCAGGCGGGCCTCATTGAGCTGCAGTGTGCTCCACCCAGTTTGAGCTTCCTGGCTGCTTTGTTTACCTACTCAAGCCTCCGCAATGGTGGACGCCCCTTCTGCAGCCAGGCTTGACACCTTGCTGTTCGATCTCGGACTAGCAGTGAGCAAGGCTCCGTGGGCGTGGGACCCACTGAGCCAGGCGTGGGATATAATCTCCTGGCGTGTGGTTTGCTCAGACCATTGGAAAAATGCAGTGTTTACGTGGCAGCGTCCTGATTTTCCCAGTACAGTCTGTCACTGCTTCCCTTGGCTAGGAAAGGGAAATCCCCCAACCCCTTGCACCTCCCGGGTGAGGCAATGCCCCGCCCTGCTTCAGCACACCCTCTGTGGGCTGCACCCACTTTCCAACCAGTCCCAGTGAGATGAACCAGGTACCTCAGTTGGAAATGCAGAAATCACCTGTCTTTTGCTTTGATCATGCTGCGAACTGCAGACTGGAGCTGTTCCTATCTGGCCATCTTGGAACTGACTCCCATCTAAATCTCTTTTTATACAAAAATGGTGTGACTGAAGAATGGTAAGAAAACTCACATCATTTACACTAGAGATAATCCAGAGATGTAATATGAAATTAAGAGACTCCTGGGAAATTTTTGAAGATTTCACTGAAGAGGTATAGGTTTTGATGGATTCTAAACCACTCTTTTCCCCTTCTTTTTGAATAATTATATATCTATCAACTGAAAGTGAATTATAAAATGTCATTTGATCAGCTGGTTAACATGATGAAGTCAACCCCAAGTCCAGGTACTCCTGCTATGAAATGAATAGTCAGGTTTCTCTAAGAACAGTAAAGAATATGAATGTAACACACAAAATAATTCCATTATAAAAGTGCTCTTCCAGTAAGCATAAAGGCAATGCTTATAGGTCAAATTATATTTTCACTTTAAATAATAAAATTGAAGATGTATTTTTGAAGTGCAAATACAAACGAAGAACATGATCTTTAAAATGTCTTATTTTTTACTTTGTCCTTTAAAGTGTTTGTTCTCTTTGAAGCAACAATTCAATTTTTAGAAATCTATTCTAAGAAAATAATTAGAATTTTACCCAAGCAAGAGTTTTTATCACAGCATTATTTATAAGAATAAAATTACATAAACAGCCTACATGCCTGCCACTAAAAGAAGAATTTTAAATAATGGCAAATCCATATAATGAAATGTATTTATTCTTTAAAAATTATGTTTTCAAACAATTTTTAATACCTTAGAAAATGTTCATGATATAATGCTAAATGAAAAAAGTAAGATGCAAAATAGAATATGCTTTTCTAACATTTTGTATGTATAATGTACAAAAAAAGGGCTAATAGGAAATAAAATGGCAACTGTGCTTCTCTCTGAATAGTAAGAATATATAATTGCTTTTTCATACTATTATGTATTACACATATTTCTAATAACAAATGTAATATTTTAATTCAGCATACAGACGCTTATTTTTTAATTATTAATTTTGTCTGAACTTTCTAATACTCAAAATATCAACAACAGTAAGAACTACTTTTATACAAAAATATGTTGAAACTGAATTCAGAAAATTTCATTCCAAAATGTTGCTTGTGTGTCAACTGCAATGAACCAACTACTACTTTTTACATTTGTTGCTTTATTTTATTTTGTTAATAGTTTTTAATTCAAGTAGTTAGTACTCCAAGGGATTATGTTTTTTTGTTTTGTTTTTTCTTTTGGGTTATTATCATTATTAGTTTTTTTCTTCTCTGGAAACTGTGTTTTGTTCTTCCACTCAGCATATTATTAGTAATCATTAACCAAAATTAGCTACCTGATTAATTTATTTATTTAAGATCCAGTTGCCATTTATGAGATGAATGCCCGTATCACATAACAGCGACATTTTCCAAGTGACACCTATGAAAAAAAGGTCTCAGGCTGGGCATGGTGGCTCATGCTGTAATCCCAGCACTTTGAGAGGCTGAGACAAGCCAATCGCTTGAGGCTCAGGAGTTCAAGACTAGCCTAAGCAACATGGCAAAACCCCATCCCTACAAAAATACAAAAATCAGCCGGGTGTGGTGGAGCACACCTGTGCCCATATACTTGGGGGACTGAGGTGGGAAGATTGCTTGAGCCTGGGAGGATCACTTGAGCGTGGGAGGTTGAGGCTGCAGTGAGCTGTATCCCACCACTGCACTCCAGCCTGGGCAACAAAGTGAGACTCTGTCTCAAAAAAAAAAAAAAGTATCGTCATTAATAAGTTTGGAAAACACTGCTTAACATCTACCACATCCCAACTTGGAGAGTCAGAATTTATATATGGATGTGATTTGAGTGGTCCTGCTGTATTAAGAACATAAATAACTATACTTAACCCACTGTTTGCTGAATTTATTTTTTACAGAATCCTTTCTTAGAATTTATCTTTTAATAATCTCTGGAAATAGTGTTCTGAGACAGTGCTTAACAAGTTTAATCTGCAAAAAAAATTACCTGGGTATATTACTGCAATCATAATCTGACCCAGTAGGTCAAGGATGAGAGCTAAGAGTCTGCATTTCTAACAATCTGCACAGTGAAGACAGTATTGCAGGTCTGCTGATCACATTTTGAGTTTCAGTGCTAGAGAGAACATACTTTAGGAACCAAACAAAAGTCCCCCCACACACTAGTTTATCATTCATCAGATATTTATTGAACATACAGATACTGTGTGGGCATGGCATCAGACAAATACCAAATGAAAGCTTTAAAAATTAGATATATTTTTTAAAAACAGTTTTTGCTTAGAGAAATGGCTTATTTTATTTTCCCACAAAGATTAATTCATAGTCTGAACTTCCTGGTTTAATAAAAATATTGCTGAAAGGTACTTAACATTAAGTATCTGTGGTGCAGGCTAGGCCCTCGGTTCTAATAAACTCAGATGACAGCTTATTTGCATGGAGCACTTTGTTTAGCTTTTGGGAAGTTCATGAATGTCTTTTTATATTAACTGTTAGACCAAGAGTAAACTCTAGTTAGACCAAGAGTAAACTCTAAAGTCTCATAAATTGTCTTAAAAACATATCAAAGATTTTAAACATATATGTATATTTAAAATGTGTATTAAAGTACGTATTTTAAAAGATATGTGTATCTTTTTTAAAAAGAAATAATCATGGGAATTACATTGCTTAATGTAACTCTAAGGTAGTGGTCTCAACCAGGACAATTTTAAGTCTCAGGGACGTTTAACAATGTCTGGTCACATCTTTGGTTTTCACGTGGGAGGACAGGGTTGGGAGTATTTCTGAAATCTAGTGGGTAGAGGTCAGAGATGCTGCTGAACATTCTACAATACACACAACAGTCTTCCACAACAAAGAATCATCTGGTTCAAAATGTCAGTATTGCCGAGTTTGAGAAACCTTGCTCCAAAGCCAAGTACTCGTGCTATTTCTTAGGACTGCCCTTGACAAATGCAGGACATGGATTGGAAAACTTTTAAAAAGAGCATCCCAAGCCCTAGATCCTTGTACCCTGGGGTACATTGAATGCTGATTTGTAAATGAAAGGGAAGAGAGAAACTACGGATTGCTGACTTTCCTAAGAAGAAAAAGGCATTTATGCAGAATATGGAAAAGTCCAATGGCCCTCGTCACTGTCCTAGGGAGGGAGGTGGAGTAATAATGGGCCCTTATCTCATTATAGTTGGCAACTGTGCCACTTTTCATGTATCCACTTTAGATTTCTCTAAAACAGTAAAAGGCTAAGCTTGCCCGGGGGTCCTTTAGAAAAGCATAGTTTCCAATAGGGTGCCTGAAGAGTTGTGAAAAGCGGCAGACAGTCTTCACATGTGGAAGCTGTGGGACAGGGGGCGATATGCTTAACCCCCTTGTTCATATAGAGCTGAGTTACAGAATGCACAATGATGGTAACGAATTGCTTTCTGCCCAAATGCTCTTGTTATTTAACATTCACATGCAGACCATTTTCACATCCTCCAGCCCCAACATTAAGACTGCTTTAAGAATGTCAGATATTCACGAAATATAAGAAAAAAGTGGGAATAGGAATTGAGCTGGAGGTATCAGGAATATGTGGAAAGAGGGAAGTGGTCAGAAAAAATTCTTGGCTGGCATAGATTGTGAATCCCTACCCAAAGCCCAGGGAAACAAGAGTGGACATCCACGAGAATTGCTGATTCAGATTTCACCATAAATGGAGTCAATGGCCATACGAAATGTTACATAGGTCCAGGCAACTCTATATAAACTTTTCATTATGAGGAGCCCAGAAATTAAGAGTTGGGCAGGATATACACTTATAGGGGATGAACAGACGTCTTGCCTTTTTTTTTTTTTTTTTAGAAGGCAAGATGGAGTCTTGCTATGTTTCCCAGTCTGGATCCATTTTTATAAATATACTGGACAACCAAAATTACTGTGTTATAATTCAATTTTATAAACATATAAACTCACTAGAGTGACCAGAGGAGGTATGTTTATTGGGAAATTTATATTTAAAATTTTAACCTATCAATGTGTTTATAAAATTTACATAAATTGAATTGGGAAAAGAGGGGTAATACTGGGTTCTTTGATGTGTAGACTAACATATGAAAGATTTACTAATACACTAATGTGAATTTGGAAGTGAAGAACAGCTGGACATGGAGATAAATGACCAGATTGAAAATGTGCTACAATGTGCCTATAAAAATTAACACAGTTGTGTATGGAGAGAAATATTGCTACTGTGGGTTTCTTGGCATGTGGAATATGGAGGTTTTGGAGTAAAGAGCAATTGAATGTGGTGGCAGTTGGAGAGGACCGAACTCAAAATGTTGAAAGGGTTTCCATAGCTTGAACTCAGCTGAAACAGCAGAGGTGGTAATGTCGCATGGCAGGGGCACTGGAGACTGCTGGAGAGCCAGGCCATTGCAACCAGGGAAAATAAGTTGTGCTGGGCAGAACAGTAAGGGGCGAAGGAATTTCTAAGGATAATAGTAGAGGCAGAAAAATGGAGCCAGACTGAGAAAGATGGCAGGAATCAGCACGTGCACGACCATCAGAAAGGGTCCAATGTGGCGAGGAGTCACATAGCAGGGGATGGAACATGACATTAGACATTGAAAAGATTTTATGTGAAAAGAAAAATCTTACAGTGCCTACTAGGCAGTTTGGCATCGATAGTAGAAGATGTTACTATACAAGAGCAATATTTCCCAAAGCGCGCTCTCTGGCCCACCTACATCAGAATTACCTGGGTGCACGGTTAAAGCACAGATATCTCAGCCGCACAACAGGTCTGAGTCAGGAACTCCTTGCCAGGCACAGGGAACAGCTTTTTTATAAGTTTTCAGTGCAATTGAAATGCACACTCAAGAATGAGATGCACTGCACCTAATATGAAGGCCACACCCTGATCAGCATTCACAGACCAACACTGGAACTACTCAAGAACAGTGATGGACAGGAATCTGCAGCCTCGGCCTATGCAGTATTGCCCACATCGTAGGCAGTTAACACCAAGGTCATCCCCAGGAGCCTCATATGACCATACCTGACATAAATGACTTCCTACATTAATTTTTCTGCTACAATTACAATAAAATATAATGTGAAATAGAAAGTATCTCATAAAGGTTAGCATGCCATTTTAGAGCTTGTATTAATTTAGTGGGGTGACATGACTTGGTTTTCATAAGGTTTATTTTCCTCAAAAAACAAATGTCTGGAAGATAGGCTGTCCTCTAGGTTTTTTTGTTTTTTTTTAAAGAGCCTTATTTCATTTTATGTTACTTTTTTTTCTTTCCCAGGTAGACCTTAATTCCCAGCTAGACTAGATTCTTGAGGGCAAGAATATTCTAATGTTTCTCTATACTCAAATTGTTCTCAATAAATGCTTGTTTGAGAGAATTAGCAGAGTACTTAAGAAAATATGGTAGAAAAAAATGCGTGGTTAAAAAATCATATGAAATAATCAAACACTATTTTCTATTCAAACAAGAATCAAACAAGAAAATGAAAGAAAAAAGTCACTTAAATGTATAACAGGAACGACAAATGAAAATCTAGGAGAAACAAGATATAATCAGAACCTTTGTGAAGAAATACTCAAGTCTCTACTGAGAAACATAAAAATGAATAATAGAAGGATACATCTTATTATTGGTAAGACAGAGTATTACAAAGTTGTCAATGTCATCAATCACAACAAAAACTACAAATAGGTTCCCATTTCTTTTTTTATCTAAGAAACATTTATTATTATGGCAAAATATATGCAATATGAACTTACCATTTTAACCATTTTTAAGTATGCAATTCAGAGGCATTAAGTACATTCACATTGCTGTACAACCATCACCACTATCCATCTCCAGAATATTTTCATCTTGCCAAACTAAAATTCTATATCCATTAAACATAATTCTCTCTTCCCCCCAACCCCCAGACCCTGGGAATTAAGATTCTACTTTCTGTCTACAAATTTGACTACCATAAATATCTCACATAAGGAAGGTTATGCAATATTTGTCCTTTGTGACTGGCTTATTTTACTTAGCATAAATGTCTTCAACTTTCATTCATGTTGTTGCATGTCAGAATTTCCTTACTTTTTAAGGCTGAATACTATTCCATTTTATATATATGTATGTATATACATATATACCACTGCTTATATATTTATTAATCAATGAACACTTGTGTTACTTCTGCCTTTTGGTTATAGTGAATAATGCTACTATTCATATGGGTTTACAAATATGTTTTAAATTCCTTTGTGTATACACCCAGAAGTGGAGTTGCTGAATCATATGGTAACTCTATGTTTAATTTTTTGAGAAATCACCATATTGTTTTCCACAGTGGCTTCATCATTTTACATTCCCAACTGCAATGCAAAAGCATTCCAATTACTCCACATCCATGCTAACACTTCTCATTTTCTGCTTTTTCATGCTACCTACCCAGATGACTACGAAGTAGCATCTCATTGTGGTTTCCGTTTGTATTTCTCTAATGATAGTAATGCTGAGTATCTTTTCTTGTGTTCATTATCCTTTGGATAAATATCTATTCAAGTCCTTTGCTCATTTTTTATTTGAATTTCTTTAATGTTGAGTTATAGGAGTTTATATGTATTCTGGATATCAATTGTTAACAAATACATTATTTGCAAATATTTTCTCCCACTCTAAAAGTTTGCCTTTTAACTTTGTTAATCGTGTCCTTTGATGCAAACAAGCTTTTAATTTTTATGAATCCAACGTAACTATTTTTTTTCTTTCATTGCCTGTCCCACATTTTTTTAATTGACCAACTAAGTCTAAAGTTTACCTGGAAAAATGCACATGAAAGAATAACTAGCACATTTCTGAAAATGAAGAGTAATGGAATAGTCTTCCCTGATAATAAAATGTATTCTATTTTTTTTTACTAACCTGCCTTTGTAAATCTAAAAATTATATTCTAAAATAGTATAATCTTGGCTCAGAAATTGACAGGCACGCACATCAGTGAATCATAGTAGAAAGTTCTAAAATATTTTCCTTTACAGTTGGGAATTTAATATATTTCAAGTATAGCATTTCAAATCAATAATCAAAATCAAAAAATTGTGCCAGTTATTTAAGAAAAAGCTGAAATCCATTTCACATCTTTTATCAAAATAAATTTCAGATTGATCAATGATTAAAATGTAAAAATTAATTTAAATTCAAAGCTTAAAATGAAAAAAATTACAGAAGAAAAACATGGAAGGATATCTTTATAATATAATAAGGAAACAGTCTTCCTAAGCTTATAAAACCTAGAAGCTATCAATAAATCTATATTGACAATTTTGACTACATATCAATTTAAAATGGCTATACAGACTTCTGCTCTCAGCAAGCAGATTAAGTCTCTTGTTGAAAATAAAAATAAAAGCTTGACACAATATATAAAGCAATTATCTGAAGACAATGGGAATTTTTTAAATTTCAGTCAATATTTGAGGAATTACAGTCTTTGAAAGAAGGGGAACACACAAAATAATATTCATATTCCAACTTCTTCTCTTTAGGACAGTATCTGATTTGCTGTCTGTGAAAGAGTGGGAAAGAGAGCCTAATCAGAAAGCAGCAGTCAATCTTGGCTGAGGAGGTATATGCTGGAGAATGAAGCTGCCCAAACCGATGGGACCTGAGGAGTGAAGCCCTAAGAAAGCACCTCAGGAAATCAGCCCAAATTCCCACTACAAATTTCCTTTCAAACATTGGCTGATTCTTAAGTAGCATATGCACGGGATAAGACCCTCAAAACCCACTGAAAAACAGTATGCAGAAAACTAAAAGCTGAGCAGAGAAGTCGGCAGCCATGGAGACAGAGACTGGATTGTTCAAAGCCTGTTCTTCCAGGTAAGAACCAAAAAGGGCCAAACTTAGGAGTAAGGGACATATGTGAGTGCATTTGTCAGCCAACTACAACTTGCAGGCCAAATCTGGCTTGTCACTTGTTTTTGCAGGTCCCTAGAGCTAAGAATAGTTTTCATATTTTTACATGGTTTAAAATCTTTAAAGTAAAAGTACTATTACATGACATTTGAAATTTATATGAAATTTAAATGTTAGTGTCGATAAAGTTTTATTGGAATGTAGCCAAGCTCATTTAATTACATATTGTCTATCACTGCTCTTCTGCTATAACAGCAAAGTTTAATAGTTATGGCACAGAACATATGGCCTACAAACTCTGAAGTATTTATTATCTGGCCCTTTACAGGAAAGGTTTGTTGACCTCTGTCCTAGAAGTAACAGCAAAACTGCAGTAGATCAGCCCTACCAAGCTTAAAATTGACCTTTGACAGGTTCAATGTGATCTGCCAGAATAAAATTTAACCCTCATCTGAGGGATGTAACATTATCCAGAACCTCTATAATTTTTCACAGACAATGTCCAGAATCCAATATAAATTTCAAAGGTCTATTAAAACAAAAAAGAATGAAATGGCCAAATGCCAAGAAAAATAATAAAAAGAATAACAGAGGCATCTAGGCGATTTAGATATTGAAGTTATGAGATAAGAACTTTTAAAAAAATCTGTGATTAATATATCCAACAAAATAGAGGAAAATATAAATAATTTTAACATAGATCTGGATTTTTTAAAATTCAAATGAATAATCTATAATCCAAAAATACTACAACTAAAATTAAGAATTGAAAATACAGGTTTAGTAGCAGAGTGCACAGAGAAGAACAGAGGAGTAGTAATTAGAAAACAGAATTAGTGATACAAATGCAGAAAGACGAGGAAAGCTGAAAACAGAAAAAAGAGCAAAACAGGCACGGTGAAAACTTCTAATTATATATAATTTGGAGTCCCAGAAGTAGAGGAGAGAAATAATAACACAGAAGAGATATTAGAGTTCTTCAACACTGACAAACTACATATAAGTGCATTTTTCAAGAATCTCTACAACGCCACGTGCATTATGGCCGGCCTGCTGAAAATCAAATGGAAAGAGAACAACTTCAGAGAAAGAAAACACACTATTGAAACAAGAAATTTTCCCTGACCCCTTCATGGGCCTCGTGACAGAGATGCCTCGCTTACTCAGCCTGCAGCTCTTAACCCCCTGAGGGAGGAGGAGCACACAGGTGAGTGGGTGCAGGAGCCGTGATGAGTGCTTCTGGGCACCAGCAGGAGCAGAATTCCGTGCGGCCCCAAGGCAGCATCTAGGAGGATACCTATGACCCCTGGGGCCCCAGAGGGCGTGTGTTATACAGTGCTCTTTTAGCTTTGCTGTCCACGGATGGCTTAAGTGTTGAACAGCTCAGGCATCTGCACTCATGACTCTGGAGCTATTGTTCAGCATCCATGAAGATTCAGGTCGCACAAACGAATTGGAAGGTGATGAATACAGAGAAGTTTATTGCTGATGGAACTGGCTTTCAGAGGGAAAGGGAGCTGGAAAGGGTATGGAGTGGGAATGTGATCTTCCCCTGGGATGTGACCATCCCCGTGGGGCTCTTCTCTGAAGTCCCCGCCGCCAAGCCCTCCCTCTTAAGCTGCTTCTCTCCAATATCTGGCTGCTGCTTCTCTTCTCTCCTTCTCTGCCACTCTTCTGCCAGTGGAGCCTGAGGTTTTTATGGGTACAGAATGGGGGTCAGGGCAGGCCAGGGTGGTTTTGGAAAAGGCAACATTTGAGCAGGAAAATTGGGATATAAAGTCCTCACTTTGGGCCACGGTTCCAGGCTTCAGGGTGGAGCCCTCCCAGGGACCACCCTCCTCTGCCCAGTATTTCCCTGCCTTCTGTCTGTATCACTATGTGCAAAGGAGGGGAAAAATAAGTTGACTGAGGAATTTTCAATTAAAACTAAGTGATATCTTTAAAGTGCTCACCAACTTGGAATTCTGTGCCCAACTACATATGCTTCAAAAATTAAGATAAAGATGTTTTCAAATAAAATATGAGAAAATTCATCAGAAGCAGACTTGCAGTTAAAAAAAATACTAAAAGAAGTTCTTCAGGCAGAAGGAAAATGATCCCAGATGGAAGCACAAAATGGGAAGAATGAAAAACACCAGAAATTATAAATATGTGAATTAATGTGAAAGATATTAATGCTTTAAAATGGCAATAATCACTACATCTTGCATAGTTAAAAATCAAGTAGAACAAATTATATGGCAATCTTAGCACAAAAGGCAAGGAAGGTTAAAAAAAACCATTTAAACTGTTCTAAGGTTCTTTTCTTCTTCAGCAAATATTTAAAACATTTACCTAAGGTAGACTGTAATAAGTGAAAGATGTATACTGTAATTTATAGGGTAAAAACTAAATGAATAATAACAGTGCATAATTAAATGATGACTATAAAAGACAAATGGCAAAGAAAAAATTTATTATACTTCAAGTTCTGGGATACATTTGCAGAATGTGCAGGTTTCTTACATAGGTATACCCATGCCATCGTGGTTTGCTGCACCCATCAACCCATCATCTACATTAGGTATTTCTCCTAATGCTATCTGTCGCCCAGACCTCCAGCCCCCAACAGGCCCCGGTGTGTGATGTTCCCCTCCCTGTGTCTATGTGTTCTCTCATTGTTCAACTCCCACTTATGAGTGAGAAAACATGGTGTTTGGTTTTTCTTTTCCTGTGTTAGTTTGCTGAGAATGATGGTTTCCAGCTTCATCCATGTCCCTGCAAAGGACATGAACTCATTCTTTTTTATGGCTGCATAGTATTCCATGGTGTATATGTGTCACATTTTCTTTATCTAGTCTATCATTGATGGGCATTTGGGTTGGTTCCAAGTCTTTGCTATTGAAAACAGTGCTGCAATAAACATATATGTGCATGTGTCTTTAAAGTAGAATGATTAATAATCCTTTGGGTATATACCCAGTAATGGGATTGCTGGGTCAAATGCTAGCTCTGTTTTAAGTTCTTTGAGAAATCTCCAAACTGTTTTCCAGAGTGGCTGAACTAATTTACATTCCCGCCAACAGTGTAAAAGCTATTTCTCCACTTCCTCGCTAGCATCTGTTGTTTCCTGACTTCTTTTTTTTTTTTTTTTTTTGAGACGGTGTCTTGTTCTGTCGCCCAGGCTGGAGGGCAGTGGCATGATCTCAGCTCACTGCAAGCTCCACCTCCCAGGTTCACACCATTCTCCTGCCTCAACCTCCCTCCTGAGTAGCTGGGACTATAGGCACCTACCACCACACCTGGCTAATTTTTTGAATTTTTAGTAGAGACAAGGTTTCACTGTGTTAGCCAGGATAGTCTCGATCTCCTGACCTCGTGATCTGCCTGCCTCGGCCTCCCAAAGTGCTGGGATTACAGGCGTGAGCCACCGCGCCTGGCCTGTTTCCTGACTTTTTAATGATCGCCATTCTAACTGGCTTGAGATGGCATCTCATTGTGGTTTTGATTTGCATTTCTCTAATGACCAGTGATGATGAACTTTTTTTCATGTTTGTTGGCTGCATAAACGTCTTCTTTTGAGAAGTGCCTGTTTATATCCTTTGCCCAGTTTTTGATGGGGTCGTTTGTTGCTTTCTTGTAAATTTCTTTAAGTTCCTTGTAGATTCTGGATATTAGCCATTTGTCAGATGGATAGATTGCAAAAATTTTCTCCCATTCTGTAGGTTGCCTGTTCACTCTGATGATAGTTTCTTTTGCTGTGCAGAAGCTCTTTAGTTTAATTAGATCCCATTTGTCAATTTTGGCTTTTGTTGCCATTGCTTCTGGTGTTTAGTCATAAAGTCTTTGCCCATGCCTGTGTCCTGAATGGTATTGCCTAGGTTTTCTTCCAGGGTTTTTATGGTTTTAGGCTTTAAGTCTTTAATCCATCTTGAGTTAATTTTTGTATAAGGTGTAAGGAAGGGGTCCAGTTTTAGTTTTCTGCATATGGCTAGCCAGTTTTCCCAACACCATCTATTAAATAGGGAATATTTTCCCCATTTCTTGTTTTTGTAAGGTTTGTCAAAGATCAGGTAATTGTAGATGTGTGGTGGTATTTTTCTGAGGCCTCTGTTCTGTTCCATTAGTCTATATACCTGTTTTGGGACCAGTACCATGCTGTTTTGGTTACTGTAGCCTTGTAGTATAGTTTAAAGTCAGGTATTGTGATGCCTCCAGCTTTGTTCTTTTTGCTTAGGACTGTCTTGGCTATACGAGATCTTTTTTGGTTCCACATGAACTTTAAAGTAGTTTCTTCTAATTCTGTGAAGAAAGTCAGTGGTAGCTTGATGGGGATAGCAATAAATCTATAAATTACTTTGGGAAGTATGGCCATTTTCATGATATTGATTCTTCCTATCCATGAGCGTAGAATGTTTTTTCCATTTTCCATTTATTTGTGTCCTCTCATATTTCCTTGAGCAGTGGTTTGTAGTTCTTCTTGAAGAGGTCCTTCACATCCCTTGTAAGTTGTATTACTAGGTATTTTATTCTCTTTGTAGCCATTATAAATGGGAGTTCACTCATGATTTGGCTCTCCGTTTGTCTGTTATTGGTGTATAGGAATGCTTGTGATTTTTGCACATTAATTTTGTATCCCAAGACTTTGCTGAAGTTGCTTATCAGCTTAAGGAGATTTTGGGATGAGACAATGGGGTTTTCCAAATATATAACCATGCCATTTGCAAACAGAGACAATTTGACTTCCTCTCTTCCTATCCGAGTACACTTTGTTGCTTTCTCTTGCCTGATTGCCCTGGCCAGAACTTCCAATACTATGTTGAATAGGAGTGGTGAGAAATGGCATCCTTGTCTTGTGCCAGTTTTCAAAGGGAATGCTTCCAGCTTTTGCCCATTCAGTATGACATTGGCTGTGGGTTTGTCATAAATAGCTCTTATTATTTTGAGATACGTTCCATCAATACCTAGTTTATTGAGAGTTTTTAGCATGAAGGGGTGTTGAATTTGATTGAAGGCCTTTTCTGCATCTACTGAGATAATCATGTGGTTTTTATCATTGGTTCTGTTTATGTGATGGATTACATTTATTGATTTGCGCATGTAGAACCAGCCTTGTATCCCAGAAATGAAGCCAACTTGATCGTGATGGATAAGCTTTTTGATGTGCTGCTGGATTCGGTTTGCCTGTATTTTATTGAAGATTTTTGCATCGATGTTCATCAGGGATATTAGCCTGAAATTTTCTTTTTTTGTTGTGTCTCTGCCAGGTTTTGCTATCAGGATGATGCTGGCCTCATAAAATGAGTTAGAGAGGAGTCCTTTTTCTATTGTTTGGAATAGTTTCAGAAGGAATAGTACCAGCTCCTCTTTGTACATCTGGTAGAATTCGGCTGTGAATCTGTCTGGTCCTGGGCGTTTTTTGGTTGTTGGGCTGTTAAATACTGCCTCAATTTCAGAACTTGTTATTGGTCTATTCAGGGGTTTGACTTCTTCCTGGTTTAGTCTTGGGAGGGTGTATGTGTCCAGGAATTTAGCCATTTCTTCTAGATTTTCTAGTTTATTTGCGTAGAGGTGTTTATAGTATTCTCTGAAGGTAGTCTGTATTTCTGTGGGATCAGTGGCGATCTGCCCTTTATCATTTTTTTGTGTGTGTCTATTTGATTCTTCTCTCTTTTCTTCTTTATTAGTCTGGCTAGCAGTCTATCTACTTTGTTAATCTTTTCAAAAAAAACAGCTTCCGGATTCACTGATTTTTTTGAAGGGTTTTTCATGTCTCTATCTCCTTCAGTTCTGCTCTGATCTTAGCTACTTCTTGCCTTCTGCTAGCTTTTGAATTTCTTTGCTCCTGCTTCTCTAGTTCTTTTAATTGTGATGTTACGGTGTCAATTTTAGATCATTTCTGCATTCTCCTGTGGGCACTTAGTGCTCTAAATTTCTCTCTAAATACTGTTTTAGCTGTGTCCCTGAGATTCAGGTACTTTGTTTCTTTGTTCTCATCAGTTTCAAAAAAACTTATTTATTTCTGCCTTAATTTTGTTATTTACCCAGTAATCATTCAGGAGCAGGTTGTTCAGTTTCCAAGTACTTTTGTGGTTCTCAGTGAGTTTCTTAATCCTGAAATCTAATTTGATTGCCCCACAGTCTGAGAGACTGTTTGTTATGATTCTTATTCTTTTGCATTTGGTGAGGAGTGTTTTACTTCCAATTATGTGGTCAATTTTAGAATAAGTGCAATGTGGTGCTGAGAAGAATGTATATTCTGTTGATTTGGGGTGAAGAGTTCTGTAGATGTCTCTTAGGTCCGCTTGGTCTGGAGCTGAGTTCAAGTCCTGAATATCCTTGTTAATTTTCTGTCTTGTTGATCTGTCTAATATTGACAGTGGGGTGTAAAAGTCTCCCACTGTTATTGTGTGGGAGTCTAAGTCTCTTTGTAGGTATTTCAGGACTTGCTTTATGAATCTGGGTGCTCCTGTATTGGGTGCATATATATTTAGGACTGTTAGCTCTTCTTGTTGAATTGATCCCTTTACATTGTGTAATGCCCTTCTTTGTCTCTTTTGATCTTTGTTGGTTTCAAGTCTGCTTTATCAGAGACTAGGATTGCAATCCCTGCTTTTTTTTTTTCTTTCCATTTGCTTCATAAATTTTCCTCCATCCCTTTATTTTCAGCCTATGTGTGTCTTTGTATGTGAGATGGGTCTCCTGAATACGGCACACTGATGGGTCTTGACTCTTTATCCAATTTGCCAGTCTGTGTCTTTTAACTGGGGCATTTAGCTCATTTACATTTAAGGTTAATACTGTTTTGTGTGAATCTGATCCTTTCATTATGATGTTAGCTGGTTATTTTGCCCGTTAGTTGATGCAGTTTCTTCATAGTGTCTATGGTCTTTACAATTTGGTTTGTTTTTGCACTGGCTGGTAGCAGTTTTTCCTTTCCATAATTAGTCCTTCCTTCAGGAGCTCTTGTCAGGCAGGCCTGGTGGTGACAAAATCTCTCAGCATTTGCTTGTCTGTAGAGGATTTTATTTCTCCTTCACTTATGAAGCTTCGTTTGGCTGGATATGAAATTCTGGGTTGAAAATACTTTTCTTTAAGAATGTTGAATATTGGCCCCCACTCTCTTCTGGCTTGTAGAGTTTCTGCCGAGAGATCCGCTGTTAGTCTGATGGGCTTCCCTTTGTGGGTAACCTGACCTTTCTCTCTGGCTGCCCTGAACACTTTTTCCTTCATTTCAACCTTGGTGAATCTGACAATTACGTGTCTTGGGGTTGCTCTTCTCAAGGAGTAGTTTTGATGTGTTCTCTGTATTTCCTGAATTTGAGTGTTGGCCTGCCTTGCTAGGTTGACGAAGTTCTCCTGGGTAATATCCTGCAGAGTGTTTTCCAACTTGGTTCCATTCTCCCCATCACTTTCAGGTACACCAATCAAATGTAGGTTTGGTCTTTTCACATAGTCCCATATGTCTTGGAGGCTTTGTTCATTCCTTTTCATTTATTTTTTCTCTAATCTTGTCTTCACACTTTATTTCATTGAGTTGATCTTCAATCTCTGATAGCCTTTCTTCTGCTTGATCGATTCAGCTGTTGATACTTGTATATGCTTCACGAAGTTCTCATGCTATGTTTTTCAGCTCCATCAGGTCATTTATGTTCTTCTCTAAACTGGTTATTCTAGTTAGCAATTCATCTAACCTTTTTTCAAGGTTCTTAGCTTCCTTACATTGGGTTAGAACATGCTCCTTTAGCTCAGAAGAGTTTGTTATTACCTACCTTCTGAAGGTAGGTAATATCAAAATTCATCAAACTCCTTCTCCATCCAGTTTTGTTCCCTTCCTGCGAGGAGTGGTGATCTTTTGGAGGAGAAGAGGCATTCTAGTTTTTGGAATTTTCAGCCTTTTTGCACTGGTTTTTCCTCATTTTTGTGGATTCATCTTCGTTAGGTCTTTGATGTTGGTGATCTTCAGATGGGGTTTTTGTGTGGATGTCCTTTTTGTTGATGTTGATGCTATTCCTTTCTGTTTGTTAGTTTTCCTTCTAACAGTCAGGCCTCTCTGCTGCAGGTCTGCTGGAGTTTGCTGGAGGTCCATTCCAGGCCCTGTTCTGGTATCACCAGCAGAGACTGCAGAACAGCAAAGATTGCTCCCTGTTCCTACCTCTGGAAGCTTCGTCCCAAAGGGGCACCCCCAAGATGCCAGCCAGAGCTCTCCTGTATGAGATGTCTGTTGACCCCTGCTAGGAGGTATCTCCCAGTCAGGAGGCACGGGGGCCAGAGGCCCACGTGAGGGGGCAGTCTGTCCCTTAGCAGAGCTCTGTGGTGGGAGATCCACTGCTCTCTTTATAGCTGGCGGGAAGGAACGTTCAAGTCTGCTGAAGCTGTGCCCACATCTGCCCCTTCCCCCAGGTGCTCTGTCCCAGGGTGATGAGAGTTTTATATATAAGCCCCTGACTGGGGCTTCTGCCTTTCTTTCAGAGATGCCCTAGAGAGAGAAGGAATCTAGAGAGGCAATCTGGCTACAGCGGCTTTCTCAAGCTGCAGTGCGCTCCGTCCAGTTTGAAATTCCAGGCAGCTTTGTTTACACTGTGATGGGAAAACCGCCTACTCAAGCCTCAGTAATGATGGATGTCCCTCCCCCTACCAAGTTCAAGTGTCCCAGGTCAACTTCAGACTACTGTGCTGGCAGCGAGAATTTCAAGCCAGTGGATCTTACCTTGCTGGGCGCCATGGGGGTGGGATCAACTGAGCTAGACCACTTGGCTCCCTGGTTTCAGCCCCCTTTCCAGGGAGTGAATGGTTCTGTCTCTCTGGCATTCCAGGCACCACTAGGGTATGAAAAAAAAAAAAAAAAAAAAAAACTCTGCAGCTAGCTAGGTGTCTGCCCAAACAGCCGTGCAGTTTTGTGCTTGAAACCCAGGGACCTGGTGGTGTAGTCACCCGAGGGACTCTCCTGGTCTGCAGGTTGTGAAGACCATGAAAAGCATAGCATCTGGGCCAGAATACACGTTCCTCATGGCACAGTCCCTCCCGGCTTCCCTTGGCTAGGGCAGGGAGTTCCCCGACCCCTTGTACTTCCTTGGTGAGGTGATGCCCCACCCTGCTTCAGCTTGCTCTCCATGGGCTGCACCCACTGTCTAACTAGTCCCAGTGAGATGAGCCGGGTACCTCAGTTGGAAATGCAGAAATCACCCACCTTCTGCGTTGATCTCACTGGGAGCTGCAGGCTGGAGCTGTTCCTATTGGGCCATCTTGCCAGCCACTCAGCAAAAAATTTTTTAAGCTTGTCATCAAAACCTAAAGAAAGAACAGAAAAAGAAAAGCACATGGGACATGTAAGAAATAAATAAGATGATGGATAAAACCAACTATGCATTGAAATTGCATTAAATATGTAGAAAATAATCCAATGTAAAGGCAATGACAAACTGGATTTTAAAAAGCAATATTTTAAAAGGTGCATTTTAAACACAAGGTCACAGAATGGTTGAATGTAGCGAAAAACCACCAAATGTTTAGAAACTTAACAACAAACATAAATCCCTTGTGGTCAAACAAGAAATGACAATGAAATTTAGAAAGTATTTCAAACTGATTGGTCATGGAAATTCAATTTTTTTTTTTTTTTTTTTTTTGAGATGCAGTCTCACTCTGTCACCCAGGCTGGAGTGCAGTGGCACCATCTCGGCTCACTGCAAGCTCCACCTCCCGGGTTCACGCCACTCTCCTGCCTCAGCCTCCTGAGTAGCTGGGACTACAGGCGCCTGCCATCACGCCTGGCTAATTTTTTGTATTTTTAGTAGAGGCAGGGTTTTACCGTGTTAGCCAGGATGGTCTCGATCTCCTGACCTCGTGATCTACCGGCCTCGGCCTCCCAAAGTGCTTTTTTTTTTTTTTTTGAGACAGAGTCTCGCTGTGTCACCCAGGCTGGAGTGCAGTAGCATAATCTTGGTTCACTGCAACCTCTGCCTCCTGGATTCAAGTGATTCTCCTGCCTCAGCCACCTGAGGAGCTGGGATTACAGGTGCTCACCACCACGCCCAGCTAACTTTTGTATTTTTAGTAGAGACAGGGTTTCACCATGTTGGCCAGGCTGATCTAGAACTCCTGACCTCAGGTGATCCACCCACCTTGGCCTCCCAAAGTGCTGGGATTACAGGTGTGAGCGACCATACCTGGCCAAAAATTCAACATTTTAAAACTTGTGAGATGGAACTAAAACAATACTTAGAATGAAATCTAAAAGCTAAATGAATATAATGGAAAGCCATTATCTTAATAGAAAAAAAACCCAGCAAATTAAGAAGCAGAAAATAATAAAAGGCAGAAATAAATACAAGAAAGATAAAGAAATTAAAAGTTGAATAAATCTGAAAAACATATACTGAAAGAAGGAGCATGCTGTATAATTCCGCTTATATGGAGTCCAAGATCAGTTAAAACTAATTTATGGTGATAGGGTTTGATATAGTGGTTATTTTGGGAAGAATAGTGCTTGGGAGGAGAATGTGAGAACCCTCTCAGATACTAGGAATGTTTTATATATTGATTTAAACGTTTGTACACTTACGATGTGTCCCCTTTACTGGATATGTCTTAACCTCAACTTTAAAAAGAAATCTATGTAGCTGAAAATATCATAAACAAAATTAAATACATATTATAAGGAGCTAATTTTGAATACATAAAATCATAACAGCACTCTCTCTGTCTCCAGTACTACTCTAGTGCTTTATATACATAAACTCACTTAATCCTCAATATAATCCTATAAGTACCACTACTATCCCCATTTAATGAGTAAAGAAACTGAGGCATAAATAACCTAAATATAATTTGTTTGTGGTCGCACAGTTAGAAAGTGCCAGGACCAGAATTCAAATTCAGGCAGTCTGTAGAGTACTTACATTTAATTACACCAAAAGCAAAAAGACCAACAGTCCATTAGAGAAATGGTCAATAGACATGAACAGAAAACAGAAAAATAATGTATAAAACTATGTTACTCTTCATTCACTAGAAATGACATTTTTCAAAATTTTAAATGTGGATGCTCTTTGACCAGCACCCTACTTCTCAAAAATAATATATGCACAAATATGGAAAGTTGTATATCCAAGGATGTTTGTGAAAAGAAAATAAAAGAAGACAACTTCAATTTGTCTCACATTCTATACCCTAGAAACAATTCACCAAGTTACACTCATATTCAAGATGAGGGGAATAAGATTATACCTTTTCATGGGAGTAATGTACAAGAATTTGTGGATATGTTTAAAACCACCCAAAAGGATGTGATGCAACCATTGTGTGAATAAAGCAATGAAGTCAATCTTTATGTACTGATAAGAAATGATGTCTGAGTTTTAAAAGTTTTAAAGAAAATTGTTAAGAATTGTTATAATGAGATCCCTTTAGTGAAAAAAAAAATATAAAAGTGTGTATATGCACATATCTATATTTATCCTTATATATTTGTATATGCATAGAAAATATGGAGAGTATACCGATAACTACAGGAGAGACCTTTTATTTTACATTCTTCTAAAGAATTTGAATTACCTACAATTAGAATGTGGTAATTTTATCACTTAAAAATTGATTTTACAATTGAGAATAAATATTTTGGGCTAGATGTAAAAGAGCTTCCATCTTTGAACTAGATCTCAGTAAATAAGATTATAACTGAATAGTATTGAATTTTAAAAAAGGTACATTTAGGTGCAGCTCTTGGCATACTTTTTTTTGCAGCTCTACGTTGAGCAAATTGCTTTCTTTCAATTAATTGTCCTCATTGGTAAAATATGGGGAACTGGGCTAGAGGGTGACTAAGATCCCTTGCAGTTTTTTACTCTATAAATCATAAGCCAGAGTAGCTAGAAAGATCAAAACCCAGGGCAAAGGCTAAAGAAGCTGTACTGAAGATACATTCTAAATATGTCAGTATCCTGTGTTCTCTAGTGAAATGTCAACTCCTGAATAGTGTAGCCCGGCCTTAGATATTGTAGCAATAATATGAAAAGCAGACTTCTCAAGACAGCAGCCCTCAATTCCCACTTAATAGTAAATAACGTTTTTCTTTTGCTTCAATGGCAGATATAAAGATTTTCAATTTCTTTAAATCTCAAGTTCTTTCAATAAATGCTCTTATCATTTTCCCATTTCAAATATCTTTTCTCATTTCTCGCTCTTTGAAACACAACTCATTTTTTTTAAAAAAAAGAATTCATCGGCATAAAATAATCCAAAAAAAGCAAATCACAAGAATGCATATTCACTTCATATTACAGCTTTCTCCAACCTGCTGATGCTAATATTGCTGACTCAATAAACATTTTGCATGTTGTATAGAATATATTTCACAACCTTAAAAATCTAGATGTAAAGTTATCATCCCAAATGAAGTGTGGTTTTTTTCTCTTTCTTTCTGGTGTCAAAGTAGGTAGTTCTCATTTCAAATGAGCTGTGTTCCAGAATTTAATTTTTAAATTGGCTTTATACTTCTCTTTCCCACAGAAAGAGTATTAAAAATACTGCATGTGTTCTCAACCTAAACCACAAATAACTTGTTCAATTAATAGTGTGCCTACATCAGAGTATTTTTGAGGGGTAACGGAACATAACAAAGTGAATTCTTTAGAGTCAGAACCAGATTGGAATCCTGGCTCTGCCACTTCCCAGTTAAGCAAATCATTTAAAGTCAGTGATCTTCAGTTTCCTCCAGTGAAAAATAGAAATCATAGCATTTATTTCCCAAAGGTGTCTCAAGAATTATCTGAGATAATGTAAGTGGTCATTTCTTCCTTCCTGTCAACCCCACTAGCCTCCTATTTATCCTAGGTTTTGCTGCCTTACCTAGTATTTTCAAACTAGAGAAGTTTTTTTGGTGTTTGCTCTATAGCACAATTATAGTATTAATTAAGCTATAAAAATGGGCTTGCCTAATTTTAATCATAGCCCCAAGCATCACCTGAAACATGAATATAGCTTCAACTCTGGAGAAGCAGGAGAACAGAGCCGCAAAGCTCCTGCCATGACCTTTGGTGGCGATGACTCATATCACAGTGGCCATCCATACTCATCAATGACTAATACCACAGGCTCTGCAGTCAGAGATCAAGTTCAAAATCCTAGATCTACCACTTACCAGATATGCAAACTGCAACCATATATTTAACCTCTTTGTTCCTCCATTTTCTCATCTGTAAAGTGGAGATAATAATAGAACCTGTCACCTAAGAGTTTTCTTAAAGACTAAATGAAACAATTCATGAAAAATGCTTATTAGAGTGTCTTTCTGGTAATATTTTTCTATAACTTAAGCTTATTAATTATAGTTTTAATGCTTTTTAACTAAAAATTTAAATAAAAAAGAAAGCATGTATATACTGCTAAATTCAGTTGGGAAAATATTGCAAGTTAATTTAATTTTTAAAAATTTTTTAAGGATGCTCCCATACTTCTAAATTTAGGATTTGAGGTTTCATGCATTCTTAGTGCACAATGATAAATCAGTGTAAAAGGATAAATCAATTCACAAATCAGGTGTGAAAATTATAATTGCATTTAGTTTTCTATAACAATTTAGTTTTTTATATAGTCCCCTTTCAGCCAAGATGACAGAAATTTGATCTCTGTAGTGTGAGCTTTCCTAGGAATAGTGTTCAATTTATAGAGACTTTGAACAGTCCTAAGTTGTAGGGCTAAGGCATCTAGTACTTGATGCCATCTGTTCACACAGGTGCCTGCCTGCTGAGACATCTCATCGGGTCCTCAGTCATCACTCACAGAGATTGTCCATGAACATTTCCTTATCCATGTCAACTGGCTTCCTTATGGCAGGAGACTCTGCTACTTCCATGCCTCCTTTGCATTTCTTTGCTCCTTTCATGCTATGTTGGGGCTTAGAAATTTCTCTATGGCTATTGAAAACACCATGCAGTCTCCTCTCTCCAGTTCCTGAGGGTTTGGCCAGGAAGCAGAAAGCAATCTTTCTCGCTGGGACCTATTATCATCTATATTCACTTCACTTCTCCTCCATCTCTCCCCTAACATATGATAAATCTTTGAAAGCAATGGCATTGGGGTTTCTTCAAGTGACAATGAAAGGAATGAGGAGAGTATTTGTGTGTGGTGAGGAGGTAAAGAAGAGAATGGTGGAAGAGAATGGCAACAAACATTGCACTATTTGGATCATTTTTAAGCTGTGTCTACAAATAAGAAGCTGCTTTTTCTTACTTTTTTATTCCATTCCTTTATTTTCCCTTTCCGAACTCTACTTTTTTTTTTTTTTTGAGACAGGGTCTCACTTTGTCACCCAGGCTGGAGTGCAGTGGCACAATCTCAGCTCACTGCAGCCTTAACCTCTCAGACTCAAATCATTCTCTCACCTCAGCCCCCCAAGTAGCTGGGACTACAGGTGTGGGCCACCAAACCTGGCTAGTTTTTGTATTTTTACTAGAGATGGGGTTTCACCATGTTGCCCAGGCTGGTAATTCTACTTTTTACTGGGTGTGCTAAATCATTGTTTGTTAGCATTACTCAGAGGCCTTTTTGAGACTGCCTTGCTTAGATTTAATTTATTTGTATCCTAACTTGTTCCAGAGTTTCTTAGTGACATTATTCATACTGACACCCTTATCATGTTATCAATCTCTGCCTTCCTTCTCTTAATCATCCTAGGTGCTTTTTCTCTGCACTCTCATCTTTCCTGATTGGGAAACTCTCTAGGTCCATGTATATTATGTCTCTATTTTTACTGGCATTTTGAGCTAGTTTTTAGTTCGTGAAGTTCTGTTATTTTCCACATCAATTTGACTCACATTTACAGTGTTGCGAGAAACTATATCAAATGTTTTCTCTCATTTTGTCAGTCAAAGGAATCTTATCACATTTCCCTGAAAGACCAAGGACAATTTGAAGATATTTCTTATTTTTTGCATTATTTTTCTATGGTAGTTTTATACTGTGTACTATTGAATTTCAGTTTGAATGTCTTGGGGCCTCATCTTTTGAAACTCTTTGGAAATACGGACATTTGGTTATCTCATTCCTAGCCACAGGAGACATTTGAAAAAATAAAGCTCTAAATCTAAATAACAGAGCTATTTTCACTTCTAATAAAATAACATTTTCCCTATAAAGGCTTATTTAAATCATATATTATTATTTGTATGTTTATATATGCAGAATACAGTGGTTATGTTTGTTTTTTTGTTTAATTTTAAAGCAATTACACAAAGTAGAATAGGTTCCCAGGGACAAGACCTGAAATAAATAAGTTCAGAATTTTAAAAAAAGAGACTCTAACCCGGATTATTTATAATAAAACAAGACAATAATATCATGTTAACTCAGCCATCAATAATGCCATTTTTTTTCAGTTGCATGACTTAATAGACTGAAAACAGAGCTCCCATACAAAGGGAGGGCACCCAAAGAGGGTAGCCATTGCTGGCTCGAATGCCTGGGTTTATATCCCAATCATTGTCCCTCTGTCCCTCCCCCTGTGCTCTCAGGCGATAGATGATTGGCTCTTTCTTTACCTCCTGGTTTTTACTTAATTAGCATTTTAGTGAGCTGTCTTTACTACCTGATTGGTCGGGTGTGAGCTAAGTTGCAAGCCCCATGATTAAAGATGGATGTAGTCACCTTCCCAGCTAGGCTTAGGGATTCTTAGTCAGCCTAGGAAATCCAGCTAGTCCTGTCGCTCAGTTCCCCTTTCAACAGGAAATCCCAAGTGCTGTTGGGGAGGTTGGAATAACACCATATTTTTTGAAGCCATATTACCCAGCACCTTGGGACTGATGATGGTCCTCTCCTTCGACACTCTATTTAATTATATTATCTGTCTTTTGAAGGGCAGGTTGTGTTATTTTTCGTATAGACAGTGCAAAAGTAAACAAAGCTCCAATTTATGTTTAGGTTTAGAAACCATCACAAGCACTTTTAAAACTGCATAGGAGAGACAGAGCAAGGTGCTTTTCCAAATATCAGAATTTATGCTGATTTTTTATAGAATTTGATACAAAACACCTGCCAGATAAAGTGGAAGAGAGACAAAAGAAAAAAAGAAAGGATCACTGAGTTTATTGAACATTTACAACAAAACTGATTCACAACACATAAAACTTATGAGATAATAGCTATCTTCTAAATGTTTTCTGTCTTGTGACTTTATGTAATTTTTTAAACTGTTTTATAAATGTGAAATACATAGGAACACAGGGGTTGGAATTTATATTTTTTTGTAAAAAGAAAAAGATTCTGAACATATCTGAGAAAGCTCCGCTCTCCTCGGAATTTTGGTATGAACAAACAAGACAGCATTGTACAAAGCTTCAGGAGAAAGACAGGGTAGTAATCTGTACTTTGACAGGACCTTTCCGTCAACCCAGTTAATCCTATTTCAGGTATTGTAAACATTGAGAGGCAAGTCCCTGCACTGCTCTGGATAAACAATCAGCTGGATTATAATTTTCCCATGATTAATGCTGAATCTCTTCTTACAGGTTGATTCAGAGTTGTGGTTTCATATTATTTTCCCAAAGAGGGTATTCATAGTGCTTACTACCACATTGGAAACACCCACTTACCCTCTCTAAATCGATCCTCTTGGGAACTTTATGAATGGTCACAGAGAGGGAGGTGACCTCAGAACTGTGTGAGGCTAATATGTCCTGACAGAGCTAGAACTTCTTCCAGTCAGCCTGCACCCAGAGACACAATGCTGTAACCAATTGGCCTACATGGCCACAGGCAACAGACACCATTATTCTGGGATTGGGGAAATGTAACAGAGAACTAGAAATATTTCTGGTTTTAATAAAAGGCTAAAGGCTATGCTTTTTAGCCCTCTTCCTTCTTACAACAAAAGAAAAGTGCTCTGGATAAAATCTTAAGTTTTAGGAAATGACAAAAATCACATCTATACTATGGTTACTGGTGTGCAAATTTTATAGATATGTGAACAAAAATGAAATGGAATGTCAAAAAATAGAAGAATTCTACATAATTCAGCTTTTTCCATGTTTTAAGTCTCCTTTGCTGTCAACCGTATTGTTTGTACTAAATACACACAATACCAAAACTCATCCTTAAATTGGAAAAGAATTGTGTATTCACACTTTTACCCCAGAGACTGTCCACATTTTAACCAGGTGATATATACAGATATGTGTATATATTTATATCTACATACAGATATAGATATTTCTAAATCCTTTGGTATATTTGACTCAAATTTAAAAAGGCCTTCAATTTGGTAAGTCATCAACAACTAACTGAAGTTTCTGTTGATTTCTAAGGAAATTGAGAAAATACAGTTACAAAAAGAAAAGTGTTAAAAATGTCTTCTTGCACTAATCTTGTGAAACAAGTTATTTTAAGAGAAGTTGAGGGAAAAATAAAAAGCACCCAAATAGGAAGAGAAAAATTCAAACTATTCCTGTTTGCGGATGACATGGTTCTATATCTAGAAAAGCCTGGCCGGGCGCGGTGGCTCACGCTTGTAATCCCAGCACTTTGGGAGGCCGAGGCGGGTGGATCACGAGGTCAGGAGATCGAGACCACGGTGAAACCCCGTCTCTACTAAAAATAAAAAAAAAAATTAGCCGGGCGTGGTGGCGGGCGCCTGTAGTCCCAGCTACTCGGAGAGGCTGAGGCAGGAGAATGGCGTGAACCCGGGAGGCGGAGCTTGCAGTGAGCCGAGGCTGAGCCACTGTACTCCAGCCTGGGTGACAGAGCGAGACTCCGTCTCAAAAAAAAAAAAAAGAAAAGCCTATATTCTCTGCCCAAAAGCTCCTTGATCTGATAAATAACTTCAGCAAAATCAATGTACAAAAATCAGTAGCATCCCTATGTACCAATGACATCCAAGCTGACAGTCAAATCAGGAATGCAACCCCATTCACAAAAAGAATAAAACAACCTAGAAATACAGCTAACCAGGGAGGTGAAAGATCTCTACAACAATTACAAAACACTGCTCAAAGAAATCAGAAATTACACAAACAAGTGGAAAAATATTTCATGCCCATGGATAGGAAGAATCAATATCATTTAAATGGCCATACTGCCCAAAGATATTTATAGATTCAATGATATTCCTATCAAACCGTCAATGATATTCTTTATAGAATTAGAAAAAAACTATTTTAAAATTCATATGGAACCAAAAGAGAGCCCAAATAGCCAAGGCAATCTTAAGCAAAAAGACAAAGCTGGGGGCATCACATTACCCAACTTCAAAGTATACTACAAGGCTATAGTAACCAAAACAGAACGGTACTGGTACAAAACCAGACAGAGATCAATAGATCAGAATAGAGAGCCCAGAAATAAGGCCACACACCTATTACCATCTGATCTTTGACAAAGCTGACAAAAACAAGCAATGAGGAAAGGACTCCCTATTCAATAAATGGTGCTAGGGTAACTGGCTAGCCATATGCAGAAAATTGAAACAGTCCCTTCCTTACACTATCTATAAAAATCAACTGAAAACAGATTAAAGAGTTAAATGTAAAACTCAAAACTATAAAAACCCTGGAAGATAACCAAGGAAATATCATTCTAGGCATAGGACCTGGCAAAAAAATTCATGATGAAGACACAAAAAGCAATGGCAACAAAAAAACAAAAATTGACAAATGGAGTCTAATTAAAACTAAAGATCTAATCAAAACTAAAGATCAAAAGAAACCATCAACAGAATAAGCAGACAACCTACAGAATGAGAGAAAATATTTGTAAACTATGCATCTGACAAAGGTCTAGTATTCAGCATCTATAAGAAACTTAAATTTACAAGAGAAAAACAAATAACCCTATTAAAAAGTGGGCAAAGGACATGAATGGACACTTTTCAAAGGAAGACATACACGCAGCCAACAAGTATATGAATAAAAGCACAATATCATTGATCATTAGAGAAATACAAATCAAAACCACAATGAGATGCCATCTGACACCAGTCAGAATGACCATTATTAAGAAGTCAGGAAATTACAGATGTTATGGAGAAAAGGGAACACTTATATACTGCTGGTGGAGCATAAATTAGATCAGCCCTTGTGGAAAACAGGGTGGCAATTCCTCAAAGAACTTAAAACAGAATTACCATTCAGATTACCGAATCTGGCAATCCCATTATTGGGTATAAACCCAAAGGAATATAAATCATTCTATCATAAAGACACATGCATATGTATGTTCATTGCAACACTGTTTACAATAACAAAGACATGGAATCAACCTAGATGCCCAATAACAGTAAACTGGATAAAGAATATGTGGTACATATACATCATGGAATACTAAGCAGCCATAAAAAAGAAAAAGATCATGTCCTTTGCAACAACATGGATGGAACTGGAGGCCATCGTTCTTAGGAAATTAACACACAAACAGAAAAACAAAGACTGCATGGACACAAAAAAGGGAACAACAGACACTAGGACCTACTTGAGGCTGAAGAGTGGGAGGAGGGGGAGGATCAGAAAACTACTTATCAAGTACTATGCTCATTATTAAATACCAGGGTAACAAAATAATCTATACACCAGACCCCCCGTGACATGCAGTTTACCTGTATAACAAACCTGCACATGTACACATGTACCCCAAACCTAAAATAAAAGTTAAAAAAGAGAGAGGTGGAAAACTTATACTATCTTACATATTTAATAAGTAAAATAATATAAATTTTCATAAAGCTTTTTGGTGTTCATGGTAATGATTATATAATCGCAATCTTATTTTATGCTAAGTTCTGAGGATACTGAGATAAATATAATACTTTCTAGTCTCAAATTGTGCATGGTCTAATAGAGAGGCAAATATTAGTTTGCAAATAAATCAATTACAGTCTAAGCTAAAAGCAACTATAGAATTATGCAAGTTGCAGTGATTCATACAGTTTTTAGGGATAACTCTGAAGCAGGATGGGGGGAGCAAAATAGAGCCTTAAAACAGGTTGTATTTTAGTTGGGTTTTATAAAATAAATTGAATTTCACTTAAATATTACGCATTGAATTGTTGGTTCAATAACATGTTGAAGTCTTAACACTCAGTACCTCAGGACATGACCTTATTTGGAGATATAGGTTTTACAGAGGCAATCAAGTTAAAATGAGGTCATTAGGGTGGGCCCTAATCCAACATAACTGGTGTCCTTATAAAAAGAGAAACTGTGGGTGCTGTGTAACAGCTCATGCCTATAATCCTAGCACTTTGGAAGGCTGAGGTGGGATGATCACTTGAGGCCAGGTGTTTAAGAGCAGCCTGAGCAACACGGTGAGACCCCATCTCTACAAAAACTTTTCAAAAAATTAGCCAGACATCGTGCCTCGCCTGTAGTGCCAGCAACCTGGGAGGCTGAGATCAGAGGATCACCTGAGCCTATGAGTGTGAGGCTACAGTGAACCATGATCACACCTGCACTTCATCCTGGGTGACAGAGTGAGACCCTGTCTATTAAAAAAAAAAAAGAAAATGAAAATAAATATAGATACAGAGAGATGCATAAAGAGAAGACAATGGTGAAGACTCAGGAAGATAATGGCCATCGAAAAGCCAAGGAGAGGAGCCTGGAAAAGATCCTTCCTCAAAGCCTGCAGAACCAACCCAGATGACTCCTTGATTTTGGACTTCTAGGCTCTAAAACTGCGAGACATTAAATTTATGCTGTTTAAGCCACACAGTTTGTGAAGCAGGTAGGAAATAGCATTCTAGATGATGGTAAAAGAATGGCAAACTCTGGCATGTTTAAGGAACACAGGGTCATGTTACTGTTGACCAAGAAGGGAAATGGCAAGAAAGGAAGCTACACAGGCCATCAGATAGGACATTAAATAGCTTTAACGTGAACATCTAACTGAGGGGAAACCACGGACAGGCTTCATGCCAGGGAGAGAGAATTCTCAAATACATGGGCATTTTCTTGATTTATAAATTTTAAACATCGTATCCTTTCTAATTGTATAGATAAGTCTCTATAAGACCTTTGTTTCCTATTTTGCCTGGAATAATCGCAGTTAATTACTTTCTAGCATCATATCAATAGCATTTCTTTTTACTCTCAAAGTGTCCCACTTTGGAAGTTAAACTACATACTACACAGTCACCCTACTTTTAAATCTCTTACCCACCACCTTATCTCTCTCTGTTTCCCATCCCAACATAATTATATCACTGCTTTAAGTTTAAATTATTATAATATCAAACACTTCCTGAATGATTACTATCTGTCAGGTATGCTTCCATGTGCTTTTTATGTTTTAAAATATTTTATTCTCATATGGTTCTTGGAGACGCATTCTTTTTTAAACAAGGAAACTGAGTCACAGAGAAACTAAGTAGCTTGCTTAAGGTGAATTGCAGCCCAAAGTCAATCCTAGTAATCTAGCTACAGTAATTGGTAATTGATTTTTAAAATTTTTTTGTTCCCTGCCTTATCAACATCTGACTTATTTATTTAATTTTACTCTTTTCTCTTTTTTAGGTGATAGCATTTTCACAATTATTCAGTAATTTTTGTTGATACATCAAAGAGATACTTAAAGAGAAGCTTATTAGTTCTGACTGCAGGCCAGGAATTTTTACTAGAAGGCTTTATTTCTGAGTGGTTAGTCATGGAGTTAGCCTCCTTATGGAGTTCTTCAAATTTTGGAAGCCTTTTCTCAGGGCGTTTTCAGGTCTTTCTGAGAAAAATTTCAGGCTTCTGTTTGTGATGTAGATGCCAAGCTGCTGCTGTTCTGTGAATGTGGTGGGAGAAAAGGGAAATGATCATCTCATTTTTTAGATTAGAGACTCAAAATTAATTCTGATAAGACCCTAAATCTCAGTCCACTCAGACTGACTTTTCAGTATCATAAATCTCTAAACTCTAGTCTAGGAGGAATTTCCTAAATGTCAGTGATTTGTGTATGTATTTCTTACATACATACATCCCTGATTTCTTACCCCACTCTTCTTCCTCACCATCCATGGGAACTCATGCTTTTAAACCTACGGCTTTGAAGGATGAACAGATTTCTTTTTGTTAGTCTCTTCTACTGCCCGCAGATTAAATTATGGCCCTCTGCACACTGTTAAATAATTTTAACAATAATCCACCTGTTTCCCACTTTCCAATGTTTTGTTGAACTCTTTCATCAATTGGTGTTCTCATTACCACGAAATGAGTACTTGGTAATAAGAGAAGATAAACATGTAGGTCATTTATTTACTGTAACATGAAGGATAAATTTGTGGGTAATAAGACTAGTAGAAGACATAAAAATTAAGTTATTGCAATCACCTGGAAGTAGGGTGTGGAGCTATAATATATGCCTATAATGTATGATTGTGAATAAAGAGAACAAGTTGAAAGAGATTTATTATAAGTGGAATCCACAGACATTTGTTACTGAGAAAATGTGATATATGAGAAAAAAGTAATACTATAATGATGATATTAGCCTTAAATAAGAAGGACGATGTTACCTTTAAACAGAAAAGATGAAAGGCTGATTTTTAAATGTTAATAAATATTCCAAATTGGAAAGACATTAGTATTCATATTTTCATCCAGCAAAACTCTTTAAAATTCATCCAGAACCAGACAATGTGCTAGACATTGGACATAAAAAAAGATGAATTACTGTCGTCCTAGAGGGGCTTATAGTTTAGCAGATTCTGTTGGAATTTAAGTAGGATGGCCCCTAGTGAATTAGAAATGCCAAAGTACATCAATACTAATAAGAACAGTTGTGTGAGTTTCTCCAGAGTCACTCATCTACTGTCAAATAGGAACACATAATGATAAATTAAGATCGATGTTGCAGGAGGGTAACTGGGATAAGTTTTTGAAATAATTGGTGAGTGAAATACTATGCAGCCATAAAAAATAGTGAAATCATGTCCTGTGCAGCAACATGGATGCAAATGGAGACCATCATGATAAGCAAATTAACACAGGAGCAGAAAACCAATTAACACATGTTCTCACTTGCTAGTAGGAGCTGAAACATTGGGTACTCACGGACATAAAGATGGCAATAGTAGACACTTGGGGCTACTAAAGTGTGGAGGATGGAAGTGGGGCAAGTGTTGAAAAATAACTGTTGGGTATTATGCTCAGTATCTGAGTAATGGGATCATTTGTACCCCAAACCCCAGCATCACACAATATTCCCAGGTTTAAAAAAACTGCATATGTACCCCCTAAATCTAAAATAAAAAAGAATTGGTGAGACCTAGTTTCTGAAAACTATACAAACTAAAATACTATCTCGAAAAGCATAGTTTTTTGAAAAGCAGTGTACCATTGGATTTTTACTGTGGAGAGCAAAAAGTAAGACCAGAAAAGCCCTGATGAAATTGGCTATAAATGTTGGAACAAAGAACTAGGGATTCCAATGAAGTCAATAATGGAAGTGCAGTAAGAGTAGTGGCAGAAACAGCGAATTGTGTCCCCAAAACAACTCCCTCTTTCTTCGTTTCAGCAACAGAACATCCCAATTTTTGGCTGCACACAAGATTGCTCAGCTAGGGACTATGTTTCCCAATGTCTCTTTTAGGTAGTTAAGACCATGGGACCAAGCTTTAGCCAACAGCGTATGGGCGTAAGAAATATGTGCAACTTTTGGACTACATCCTTTAATAAGAAAACTCCTAGTCCTTCATTCTCTCTCTTCTTCCTAAGGGCTAGAAAGTGTAAGTGGTAGTAATAACTAGCTTTAAATATGTGAACAAAGACGGTCCCCTAGAGGGTGACAAAACTATGAGATAGAAAACACTCGTGTTCCTCGATGACCTTATAAAACAGAGCTATCTGCCACCCTGCACCACTCACTTCTACACTATAACATGAGGAAGAGCCCTTGGATTTGGAGTCCGTTTGTTTCAACAGGGTACCCTGTAACCAATGTAGGTGAAGTAATGTGTGACCGGAAGAAAAGAAGTTGTAATGATTGTAGAATATTAGATTTTGTGACTTCAGATGTGATGTAGTTCTGGAGTACATATGGTTCAGGATGGCATCATGGGAGTTTGCTGTTGAAAGAAAATGAAGGTAAACAGAGTAAAAGATGAAAACAATATCTGAATTTAGCAAATCTAATTAATGAGCTATATCAATATTAAGATCACCTGGATGAGAACAAGAATAAGAATGACAAAACAAAAATGATAAACCATATGACGGAGTTCTCAATGATGATGGAAAACTTTAAACATAATAAATGATAAGGACACGGAAGAAAGGAAATTGCTACAATTGATTGACATGAGCCTCAAGGTCCCAGAAGAAGAACAATGTTATAGAAGCAGTAGTACGGCTACTGGTGATTCTAGTTCAGATGCTATCATTAACTAACATGGCAAATCGTTTAACATCTGTGGTTCAAAGGCCCCTCACCTGTAAAAGGAGAAAATTGGATTAGATCATACATAGTCTCCTGGCAACACTAACATTTCATGATTTTAACTTAGAATTGAATCCAAGTCCCCTAATTCTAATAGCAGGCCAATCTTCCACTTGCTTTAAAACCGCAATGTCACTGCACCTTTCACAGAACATAAACCCAGGGGTAGTGCCTCTTGGGAGGAGTGATGAAATGGTACATAAACAAGTCACTTCCCTTCTCCTTCCAGCAGAGATGCTCAACTTCAAATCTGTTCCCTCTGTATCTGTGAGCAGTGGTTCACAGCTGTGTGAATTGATTCCCAATTACCATGATTTGCAGAAAAATCTAAGCCCAGAATGAGATGAGGCCTAAGGGAGGAGGCAGTCTTGGGCCAGTTTGATAGAGTATCTTGGGTGACCTCTTTCTGACCTGAGCTGTTTTATTATCCAGCTGCTGGTGGATAATATAATAGCTTACATAATAGCATTTCCCTTTCCTTCACTTATTTGGATGTTTCTTCTTTGACTTATTTTTCTCTTGGGATTTCAATAATTTTTTTTTGGAATATATTATTTCAAGTCATATGTGTGTGCATTACACATAAATACATACCCACGTACATACAACATAACAGTATTAACTTTCCAAGCTTTCAAATAAACCAACCACAAGTTTTAAAAATGAGTGTTATGAACAAGATAATGTTCTGACGGTGCTAATGAGTCCCGAGCCTTTTATTTTGGCCTCTTTTACCTTTGGCAATGATATCTTGCATCTTTTTAACCATGAATCTCTTAGACTTCCCATCTTGGGCTTGACCAAGCTAACTTGAGTATAGGGCTTTCCCCCACACCCACTCTACCACCTGTGTGTTTTCTTTCCTTTGCCAACAAGACAAACAACAGAGCAGGACAGAGTTGAACTCAGTCACTAAGGTAAAGACGTAGAGTCTATTAGATTAAATTTGTCACTAATAATCATGGAATATGACCAATTCATATCCATTTTATTTTCCAACACTGATTCTTAATAAAGAGACTATGTGGGATCACTATTTCTTATGGGCCATGGTGAAAACATAAAAGTTAGGGTTCCCTTACACCAACAGCTTCCCAGTTCTTCATGGATTTCCATGGTCAGACGATGTTCTGTGAAATAAACTCTAACCGTTTAATTTGGGGGAAAAAAGGTTAACTGGGGAAGAGATGTTGGTTGGTGGTTCCTTATTTGTTCTTTAGTTACTGCTATACTCCTTGTTTTGAGTGGCAATTTTTGAGATGTTAGTTGGGAAGCTAATGCTAACAGAACTTAACATTCTCCAGCCCACCAGACTGGGCCAGGATCTCTTAGCATCCATATAGATCCTTGTAACACTTAGTATGATAGTAAATTAATCATTTGTGTTTTTTATTCAGTGATACCTGCTAGTTTGCAATCTCCATCAGCGCTAGGAATGTATTTGTATTTTTCACCACTGTACTGTGACTTGCAATTTCTAGGCACTTAAAAAAATCAGTGAATTTCAGTAGCAAAGACAGAGAATCAACCTAGGTGCCCATCAGTGGTAAATTGGGTAAAGAAAATGAGGTACATATACACCACAAAATACTACAAAGCCATAAAAAAGTATGAAATTGTCTTTTACAGCAATATGGATGCAGCTGGAGGCCATTATCCTAATCAAATTAACACAGGAACAGAAAACCAAATACCACATGTTCTCACTTATAAGTGGGAGCTAAACAATGAGTACTCATGGACATAAAACTGGTAATAATAGACACTGAGGACCACTTGGAGGCAAGGGCAGGTGGGTAAGGGTTGAAAAACTATCGGGTACTATGCTCAGCACTGGGTGACAGGATCAATTGTACCCCAAACCTCAGCAACATACAATACACCCAGGTAACAAACCTGCATATGTACCCCCTGAATCTAAAATAAAAGTTGAAATTATAAATAAAATAATTTTTTAAAATAAAAATAAAATAAAATTGAGAGAATTAATGTAAGTAACATTACACTGAGTAATATTTTGCAGAATTTTTTCAAGTGTTCACGCCCCTGAGGCATATAGTTTCTAAAAGGTCCTGCAGACGTATTGAGGCCTGAAATTGCCCTGTGGTGTTTGCTAGGTAAGGTCTGAACAAGAATTACATTTGATTCCTTATCCTGATTAATTATTACAATGCCCTTAACTGCACTGGTAATTTTCGAAGTATCAGGAAAGAACGTACAACACAAAGTACACACATTCAGAATGTAATTTCCTTTTTCTCTGTTAAATTAAACTCAGCAGGCATTCAAGGACCATCACTGTTAACAGGAATTATCTCTACATTCTAAATGCGTGGAAGTGCAGCTAGGGAATTTATGCTTAACATCGTGCCATGTAAACCAGGGTTTGCCATAAAATGTTATGTTAGTGTCACTGAGCATAATCACTCACGTACCTCTCACATGTTCTACTCTGTATTAGCAATTTCCAAATATTCACTGCTGCTTTTTCCCTCTGATTTGCTATTGATAGCAGGTTGGATGTAATGAAGGAACAGATATGATTCAAGCAGGATTCACTTTAAGCTCTATCATACTTTTATTCTTTTCTAAACTATGGCATACACATCAATGTTTCTTCTTAGGTTTATCACCATTAAAATCACTCATGTAGATATAAAAGATAATCCTTTCTGTGTGCTTCAAGTCAAATCAGGAGGAAGGACTACTTGCATCTCACAGGACTTCCCTACTGATTATCCAAACCATAGATGGATATTTGAGTAAACAGTTGTGTCCAAGCTAAATCTTAAGCTCATGCCTACCAGTGCTATTCAAAGAACAGATCTCCTTATGAAGGTTAATGACTAATTTGTTATGATTGTTTCTTTTATAACATTTTTTTCATTCCTATACTCATACTTCAGTATAATTTTTTAGGTTAGAATGTCTATAATTGTAGGCTTTCTTGCAGTTCTGGCAAATTGTAGAAACTATGAGTCTATAAATGAGGATACCTCATTCAAACAAATTCACATTTTTATTCATTTGACCATTTATTAATAGTACTTAGTATTTCTTTTACTTGAAAGGTTATTTGGCTGGGCGCAGTGGCTCACGCCATAATCCCAGCACTTTGGGAGGCTGAGGCGGGTGGATCACCTGAGGTCAGGAGTTCGAGACCAGCCTGGCCAACATAGTGAAACCCCGTCTCTACTAAAAATACACAAATTAGCTGGGCGTGGTGGCAGGCACCTGTAATCCCAGCTACTAGGGAAGCTGAGGCAGGAGAATCACTTGAACCTGGGAGGCGGAGGTTTCAGTGAGCCGAGTTGGTACCACTGCACTCCAGCCTGGGTGACAGAGTGAGCCTCCGTCTCAAAAAAATAAAAAAAGGTTATTCAAAACTGAATTTTTGTGGACATTGCTTCATTTATTCCTTATATCTAACCAAACATAAGTCTCTTACGTTTTCCGCTCCCTCTTCCTATTATCTTGGCACACCTCGGTGTAAAAACTGTCAAGTGCTGCCTCTAATATGAAGTCCGAACTCCTGCCTTTTTCAGGAGCCCCCATAACATGGCTCTAGCCATATCCAACCTGTTTTGACCTCTCTGGACCGCATAACTTCAGTTTTGGTAGACTTAGATTTGTTTATTCTTATCTTTTGCACTTACTATGCATACAGCTCTCAATGGCCCTCCTTCCTCATCTTCAAGACCAAGTTCATTTCTCTTCTTATGAAAGAGATCCTTTATTTACCCCTCCAGGTCTGCTCTCCATCCTTTGACCTTGACCTCTATGCAGATGGCTGATGGACTACATTGATAGATCCCCGTGACCGCTAGCTGTCAATTATGTTTGACGAAAAGGAAGCCCAGGCAGAAGATGGGAAAGGAAGAGAGAAGAGGGTGAGGTTGTGGTATTTATTCCTCTAATCTATTTTTTCTTTTTTTTTTTTTTTGAGATGGAGTTTTGCTGCTTGTTGCCCAGTCTGGAGTGCAATGGTGCAATCTCAGCTCACTCCAACCTCCGCCTCCCGGGTTCAAGCAATTCTCCTGCCTCAGCCTCCCAAGTAGCTGGGATTACAGGCACGTGCCACCACACCCGGATGATTTTTGTATTTTTAGTAGAGACAAGGTTTCTTCATGTTGGTCAGGCTGGTCTCGAACTCTCGACCTCAGGTGATCCGCCCACCTCGGCCTCCCAAAGTGCTGTGATTACACGCGTGAGCCACCATACCTGGCCTCCTCTAATCTATTCTTATAAGGGATCTGGACCTAGATTTTATTCCTCAATAATAGGCAGGTCTCTCCACAAGACTCCTTTCTTCCAGGTCCTAAGAATTACTCCATTTCTTAATCCCTTCAGATGGCAATGGCCTGGTTGCTATTAGCCTCATGGTAATGCAGCATCCCTTGTGGTTTCCATATACCCTGAATGCATTTTTGTAAATAGTTTCTTTACTAAATCTTATGAAAATTATCTGTTTCCTGTTAGGATCCTGATTAATGCACATCTCTTCCAAGAAGCCTTACCCAATAACTCCAATTCACTTTCAGGTGATATAGTACACATTTATCACACTGCAGTGGCTTTAAAGTATGTCCACAAATTATTTGATACTTCTCTCTTCAAAGCGTAAGGAACCTAATTCCCCTCTCCTTTGCTGTGTGCTTTAGTAAGTGGCAGAAATCTTGGTATGTGACTTATCTATTAAAACACAAAAGGCATAGTGACTTTCTCCTTGCTCTGTCTCTTGGACCACTCACTCTAGGAAAGCCAGTTGCTAGCTGACACTCAAGCAGCCCTAGGTAGAGGCTCACATAGCAAGAACTTGGGACCCCTTGCCAATAGCCATGTGAACAAATGGAGCAGAGCCTCTATCCCTAATCAAGCCTTCAGATGACTGCAGACCTGGTTGACATCTTGACTCAACCTCATGAGAGATCCTGGGCCAGAAACACCCAGCTAAGCTGCTCCCAAATTTCTGATCTACAAAAGCTGTGAACTTGTTATTTTAAGCTGCTAAGTTTTGGAGAGTAATTTATTATGCAGCAACAGATAGCTAATACTAACAGAGAACTAATATAACAAGACACACATAGCTAGACACATATCCTATATAGAGATTTGGGCCACAATGGTGCAATGCAGATTCCAAACTGGATCACCCTAGAACTCTTTGTCTTTAATTATCTCACTTTTTTCCCTAATGACTGATCTTTGGATACTCTCAATAATCATGCCTCCAAATTTATCTATAACTTTGCTTTTGGTGTATCTTAGTGAATTTCCTGCCTATGAAATCAGCAGTGCCCCACAGTTTTGCTTCATGGACCACAAACTAAACCTAAGCCCTACTCACTACTTCTCCAGTCCTGACAATAAGGTTTTTATTACCAATATTATGTCACGCAAAGATAACACTTTCACATTTTTCTCTTCATTTTCCTATTATATTTAAATTATACAATAAGACTTAAAGCAGTAGTATATGCCTTGTCTTTCTTAACTATATTGCAAAGGAAGGAATTATAACCTCATTTTCTATATTCTTCATTCTACTCCCTTCTGTTCCGTTGGATATCTAGTAGAAAATACCTAGTGAAATTACTACATATTCTGTATTGATGGTAAACCTTTAGTTTTTTGGTTTTGGAGTTTTTTGTTTATATCAATTTGCTAGTCAAATGCATCACCTTCCTCCATAATCGCTAAAGTAATTATATAGAAAACATTGTTTCTGTTTTCTAGACTCAACTTGGACATAAATGAAGATGACTCTATCCTGGTATTACTGAGTTAGCTCTTGGAAAAATAGGAACATAAGTAGCATGTCCAAAGTAAATGGATGATTTATTCTCCTAGATAACTTGATTTGACAAAAAGAAAACCAGGCTTCCAGGCCCTTTTTTCCTTTGTCCAATAAAAATAAGCCTTTGAGACAGCTTCTCTCCCATTGACACTCCATTAACTGTCAATACAGTGGAGCTACACAGTTATAAATATGTAAAATGTGATATGCACAAGGCTATTTTGCATAGTGTACCTGTGTTCCCAGCTGCTTGCTATTTTTGTTCAAGTCAAACATGTTTTGATGTGCCTATTTTGTTGTTTTTGTTTGAATTCTGTTATATTAATGATTAAAAGCAGCTTAAAAAATCATCGGATATCCAAATGTTGCTGAAATACATCCAAAATCTAACCTTCTGTGTTTGAATATAAATATAGATGCTAATATGGCAGTAACACAGAAATTTGTGTTTTATTAAATCCTTCACATACAGGGCTTAATTATGCATAAATCATACATAAAATCTGCATATGAACTCCAGAAGGTTAAAGTACGTACAGTTGAGTTACATAAAACCAGAGCAAAGTAGAAATTCAGAGAGATTTTAGTTCAACTCTTTCATTTGATTTATGGGGCAAAGCCAAGGTATGTTAAGGTATTTTTTTTCATGATCACACAGGCAATTTAATGACAGACAAACACAGAACTAAATTTCTGGTGACTCTTGTTTCAGTGTTTCTTTCCTATAAAATAAAATCAGAAGTAGTACTTTGTCATATAGGAGAAGACAGAATGCCTTATCCAGGAGTGCCTTATTCTCCATGTTCCAGGATCTGACGCTTTGCCTAGATAGTTCAGCCTTTCTCTTTTTATGTCCAGGAATAAATAATTTATTAGAGGCAGAATCTCACTAAATCAAAGGTATCTAACACTGAGGTAGTCATGAGAATGACAATTTCTAATTTAACAATAAGAAGTAGAAAATTCTTGAAAACATAAGATTCAGTCAGCATTAATATTACAGTCAAGCTACATAGAAAGCTAGATATACATCCCTATTCATTCATCATGAGAAATTATCACAGATATCAAGAATGTACTCTTATGTAATCAGAGAATTTCCCTCCTAAGCCCACAGGATAAAAACTCAAAAAACCAAAGGGGCTAGCAGTTAGGTTGGTGAAACAGCGGGGTGAAATACCATAGGGAATAGCAAATATTCTGGTAAACGGAAAATAAATGTCCTGTTTAAAAGGAACAGCTGCTTTTTCATTCAGCCTTAAAAAGAAGTCGATTCTGTCATTTGTGACAACATGGATGAACCTGGAGGACATCATACTAAGTGAAATAAGCAAGACACAGAAAAGCAAATACTGCATGATCTCACTTATATTGTGAGAATATAAACCAGTTGGACTCATAAAAACAGAGTAGAATGGTGGCTGCCAGGGACGGGGAATGGGGAAAATAGAGAGATGTTGCTCAAAGGGTACAAAGATTCAGTTATATACAATGAATAAGTTCTGGAAATCTAATGTATGGCACTAAACTATAGGTAATAATACTGCATTGTACAGTTGTCCCTCCATATCCATGGGAAATTGACTCCAGGACCTCCTGTGCATACCAAGATCAAGAATGTTCATGTCCCTGATATAGAATGGCATAATACTTGCATATAACTTATGCACATCCTCACATATACTTAAATAATCTCTAGATTCCTTAAAATTCTTTTTTTTTTTTTTTTTTTTGAGACGGAGTCTCGCTCTGTCGCCCAGGCTGGAGTGCAGTGGCGCGATCGCGGCTCACTGCAAGCTCTGCCTCCCGGGTTCACACCATTCTCCTGCCTCAGCCTCCCGAGTAGCTGGGACTACAGGCACCCGCCACTACGCCCGGCTAATTTTTTTGTGTTTTTTTAGTAGAGAGGGGGTTTCACCGTGTTAGCCAGGATGGTCTCGATCTCCTGACTTCGTGATCCGCCCGTCTCCGCCTCCCATAGTGCTGGGATTACAGGCGTGAGCCACCGGGCCGGCCAGGAAAGTAGTTTAATGGACTCACAGTTCCAGATGGCTGGGGAGGCCTCACAATCATGGCAGAAGGTGAATGAGGAGCAAAGTTACATCTTACATGGTGGCAGGCAAGAGAGCTTGTTCAGGGGAACTCCCCCGTTTATAAAACCATCATACCTCATGAGACTTATTCACTACCACAAGAACAGTATGGTTCAATTAACTCCACCTGGTCTGACTTGACATGTGGGGATTATTACAATTCAAGGTGAGATTTGGGTGGGGGCACAGCCAAACCATATCACAATGTAAAAAGTTTTCATATGCTATATTTTAGGGAATAACAAGAAAAAAAGTCTGTACATGTTCACTACAGATGCAGGTTTTTTTCTGAGTATTTTTTACCCATGGTTTGTTGACCCCACAGATGCAGAACCCATGGATATGGAAGGCTAACTATATTCTCGAAATCTGCTAAGATCTGATCTTAAGTGTTCTTACCACAAAAAAAAAAAATCATACTATGTGATGTGATTAGTATGTTAATTATCTTTATTGTGGTTATCATTTTACAATGTATGCATCTATAAAAACATCACATTGTACACTTAAAATATATATAATTTTTATTCCTTAAGTATACCTCAATACGGCTGGAAAATAAATAAACATATAAAAGGAGCAGCTGCTATTTATCTCTAGCCAGTTGCTACTATCTAGAAATTTGAATGTAATCTTACAAAACTTTCTATTTTTGGACAGGAAGCAAGATCAATTACAAATTACTTTCTCAATTTGTACATAGTTGCAACTATTGAAAAACATTTAATTATGTAAGAAAAATCTTCTGGTCTGAATTTGGACTCTGAGTCCTCAGTTTACAGCATTTTCTATTCAGAGTTACACAGAAAGTCAGATCATAACCAGATGTTTGCTTACCTGTGACAGAATCAGAATAAGAGGAGTAATGATTGTCCAATGTCACTAGTCTAATAAAGTCCCAAGTAGCATTTCCACTAGAGATAGTGTTGCCAATGAGGATCAGAAATACCATAAGTTCACTTAATCTATTCCCTGCATCTATTTCCAAACTAAGCATGGCCTTGCCATTGGCTGAGAGATACTTGTGATCCAACAGTTGAGATTCCATTTCTCCAGTATTGTATATATAACTATGTCCAAAATTTTCTCAACAACTCTCCATTCTTTCTATGCCTCGAGAATGACCAAGCCCATTCTGATTTTTTAAAAACATCTTTTATAGATATGTTCATACATTCTTTTTTGTTAATGAGATATTGGTTGGCCTGGGAACAGTCCTGTCTCCTCCAAGTGAATTTGGATTTGCCTGCTCAGATCCTTCCTGTGGTGATCTTATATTTAACTTTTGAGTGTGGAATCTTATCTTCTTCATGTCCAAGTTCTTGGGGGGTTTACATCAATGTGGCCTCTAATTCTGACCTATATTAAGACTAGCTCATGGCACAGAGTCTTCAAGGTCATGGAGTGGCATATATTTCCAGATGCAATAAACACATACATAAATAGGTTAAAGGTTAGTCTTCGTCTAAAATATCAAACCAGTTGCTGAACTAGGTGACATTTATAATATCATGTGTTGTCTGTTCTGGGTTTTTTTTTTTTTTTTTTTTTTGAGACAGAGTCTCTCTCTGTTGCCCAGGCTGGAGTGCAGTGGCGCCATCTCGGCTCACTGAAAGCTCCGCCTCCTGGGTTCACACCATTCTCCTGCCTCAGCCTCCTGAGTAGCTGGGACTACAGGCACCCGCCACCACGCCCGGCTAATTTTTTTGTATTTTTAGTAGAGACGGGGTTTCACCATGTTAGCCAAGATGGTCTCGATCTCCAGACCTCGTGATCCGCCCGCCTCAGACTCCCAAAGTGCTGGGATTACAGGCGTGAGCCACTGCGCCCGGCCTGTTCTGGGTCTTAATGAGTGCCAGCAACCTGCCATTTGCCCAGAAGGAGTTGAGAAGATCCTTGTATTGTTTTAAAAAAAAAAAAAAAAAGAAAAAAAAACTGTGGTACATAATAGTTACATATATTTATGGGGTGCATGGGATATTTGGATACAGGCATGCAAGGAGAAATAAGCACATCATGGGGAATGGGGTTTCCATCCCCTCAAGCATTTTTCCTTTGAGTTACAAACAATCCAGTTACACTTTCTAAGTTATTTTAAGATACACAGTTATTATGGACTATAGTCACCCTGTTGTGCTATCAAACAGTAGGTCTTACTCATTCTTTCTATGTTTTGTACCCATTAAACATCCCCACCTCTCCGGCAGTCATCTACAATTTGTATTGTTCTTAGCAATCAGGGTACACTACAACCAGATATCAGGCACTCTAATTACTGCCCCACTGCTTCCTCATCCTTCACAAACAAACAGTGCATACGACAGAGGGAACAAAGCATTGGATTTTCACAAATAACCAATCATGTTCCCCATGGGATCTTGAGTTGATGGGGCCATGTTTGTGGCACTGCTTTTAGCCAGTTTTGTGGGGGTGGTGGCAATGCTATCTCAATATTCTTCTTGCTTAGCATCCCACCTAGGTTACCAGGGAGCTTGCCATGAAGGCCACTTGCTGGACAGTAGCTCCAGGTTTCCCATCCATGACTCCAGAGGCAATAAGAGTCAAACAAATAGGCATGTGGTTTCTCAGTTGCTGTTTAATGAAGCTCCAATAATCTTTTACATATGATCTGTTTGGACCAGTAGTGGTCACCACTTCCCATTACCTAAGAACTATATATAGCTTTCCTTCTTTCATGCTTACCCTGTACACTATACAAAGAGGCAATGTGGTAGAGTAATAAAAAGTATGGGCTCTAGAGCAAGATTGACTTCACAGCTTGCTCTGCTACCTAGCAGGCTCATGCCTCAATTTCCTCACTTGTAAAAATAGAAATTAACATAGAACTTATTTCATACATCTTTGAAACTATTAAATGAGTTAATGCTAGACACTTAGAATAGTACCTGGCATATTATTAGCACTATATAAATTTTATTTAGCTATTATTTTTACTCTCACCTACATTATCATCACCATGACTGTGTATTTATTAATTTTTTTCTGATAATTCTGCTCACTGATCCCATAATTTCATATATATTTGTCAAACACATGTCCCAATTTCTGGTTTGGAAAATATGTTCATCATAAATAAAGAAAATATATTTTTAAAACAATGCTGCTGTTCAATTTTCCTAAACTTAAATGCCAGCTGTAGAGTGCCCTAGCAGGAAACACCTCCTGATGTCTTCTAGTCCCTTGCACTCTTGGTCCATAAAGGGCTAATTTCTTTAGATTATTTAGCTCAAAATCAAGTCTCAAATGTCAAACAGCAAATGTGTTTTCCTTTTTTAATCACAAAAGGATATTTGCATGCTAATTCAAGGTTCTTGCCATCTAGATCATATATTCTTCTCAAATTAATGAGGCTTTTTAAACACTAGTGTAACTTTCATTTTGGCTCTGCTCAGGATAATTAGAGTTTTGGTCATTTAAAATAATTTCCAGAAAAACTTCTGTAGTAGAGATCATTGCTATATTAGTGTAATAAGTCAGTCTACCTAGTAAGCACATGCAACTCACTACTTTTCACATGTTGTTTTCATTAGTCAAGATATTGAGGGAAAAAGACATAAGTCTTGTTACAGAGGTGACATTTTCAGTTATCCATTACTGTGTAATAAACCACCTCAAAATTTAGTGACTTGTACCAACAGCCATGTAAGTATCTTTCATGTTTCTGTAGGATTTACTGGGATCAGTTGGGTGGTTCTTCTGCTTCACAGGATATCGGCTGAGTCTCCAGCCAAGTTATATAGGGCTTTAACTGCACTGGAACATCCAAGATGGTTCCCTCTCAGGCTGGCAGTTGGTACTGGCTTTCCACTGGGAGCATCTCTGGGGCTGCAGAACAAAGCATCTCAGGGCTCATGGTGCTTACAGCATGGCAGCTGGTTTTTGAGAAGGAGTATCACAAAAGCGAGTGCTCCAACAGGAAAAAAGTGGAAGCTGTTAGTTCTTCTGAGGCCTAAACTCAGAAGTCTCAGAATATTCTATTAGTCAAAGCAGTCACAGGAGTAGCCCAAATTCAAAGGGAAGGGGTGTAACTCCATCTCTTCCTGTGAGGATGGGACTACAGTACAGGGAGGAGAAGAACTGTAGGAGCTACCTTTGGAGACTGGCTACCACCGTAACCAAATACTTCCTCTTTTTTACAGATTTCTTCTGTCCGCTGATGGACAACAAATGGATTAAAGGACTCATTCAAAAGACAGAACAGGCCGAGCTCATGCCTGTAATCCCAGCACTTTGGGAGGCTGAGGCAGGCCGATGACTTGAGGTCAGGAGTTCGAGAGCAGCCTGGCCAACATGGTGAAACCCTGGCTCTACTAAAAATAAAAAAATTAGCTCTGTGTGGTGGCACGTGCCTGTAATCCCAGCTACTTGGAAGGCTGAGGCACGAGAATCACTTGAACCCAGGAGGCAGAGGTTGCAGTGAGCCAAGGACACACTACTGCACTCCAGCCTGGGTGATGGAGTGAGACTCTGTCTCAAAAAATAAAAAAATAAAAAGTAAAAATAAAAAGACAGAACAGATTATGATTAGTGTCTTTAAATGTTGTTGAAACACAGTAAAAAGAAATATGATCTTGGAATCAGAACACTGGAGTTCTCAATCAGGCTCTATGATTTATAAGCTAATGTAACCCAGAACAACTAACCTAAAGTGAATATCAAAGATTATTCTCTAACAAGATCAGTCTGATAAAAATAGGCAAAGACCCACTTTGTGAAGGTAAGTAAAATAACTGATATAGTCAACATGCAACTTTCTAAGAAAAAAAAAACATTTATCAGACTTAAAAAAACAAATGCAGTTTCTCAATATTGTCCCAGTATACTATCAGGCTTCTCTAATAGTTGGCATAACAACAAAACATATAAGCTATATTGCCAAGCAAGGCTAAAGACAAATGTCACCAGGATGGAGTGAGGAACTGGGATGCAGAAAACAGGCAAAGGCAAAGAGAATAGCACAGTTCTTCTAGGCCTGTTTTCTTATACAAATTTTCTGAATTAAAAAACAATTTTAAATTATAATTTTTCAACCCTAGTTCTATACTAAAACTACCTGTGGAACTTCAAAAGGCATAAGTTCATCTTGTGCATCCTATTCCTCCTATCTGTAACACATTTTACTCTTGATAAATTTCAATTCATCCTTTAAGTCTCAGTTCAGAAGTCATCTTCTACAAGAAGGCTTCCTGGAAATCCCCACAGCCCAGGCTAGATTTTTGTATCCCTCTTTTGTGTTCTCATAAATTACCCCGTTTCAAATGTGTTCAATTTTCTTGTTTCTCTTCCTCAATATACTGTAAACTCCTTGGAAGCTAATGAATCCCCACAGTGCCACCACAAAGGTAAACAGACACACAAAAGGAGGGAAGGGAAGGGGAAGGGAAGGGTAAGGAGAGGGTAAGGGGAGGGTAAGGGGAGGGGAGGGGAAGGCAGGGGAAGGGAGGGGAAGGGAGGGGAAGGGAGGGGAAGGGAGGGGAAGGGAGGGGAAGGGAGGGGAAGGGAGGGGAAGGCAAGGGAAGGGAAAAATAATTCATAGGTTCACTATCTTTTGATCATCTCCAACACACACATGCACACACATTTACAACTGGCACCCCACCAAGAGATTCTAAATCAGTAGATATATATATATATTTTTATTTTTGAGACAGAGTCTTGCTCTGTTGCCCAGGCTGAAGTGCAGTGGCACAGTCTTGGCTCACTGCAACCTCTGCCTCCCAGGTTCAAGTGATTCTTCTGCCTCAGTCTCCCGAGTAACTGGGACTACAGGCATGCACCACCATGCCCGGCTAATTTTTGTATTTTTAATAGAGATGGGGTTTCACCATATTAGCCAGGCTGGTCTCAAACTCCTGACCTCGTGTTCTGCCCATCTTGGCCTCCCAAAGTGCTAGGATTACAGGCGTGAGCCACCACGCCTGGCATCAGTAGGTATATATTTTTATAGATTCTAATTGTGAAGAATAGCAAGGGCTGATGTTTACTGTATTACCTTTGGCAAGTGATATGGTTTGGCTGTGTCTCCACCCAAATCTCATCTTGAATTGTAGCTCCCATAATTCTCACATGTTGTGGGAGGAACCCAGTGGGAGATAATTGAATCATGGGATGGTTCCCCCATAGTGTTCTCATCATAGTAAATAAGTCTCACGAGATCTGATGGTTTTGCAAGGGATTTCCCCTTTCACTTGCCTCTCATTCTCTCTTGCACGCTGCCATGTAAGATGTGCCTTTTGCCTTCCACCATGATGGTGAGGCCTCCCCAGCCATGTGAAACTGTGAGTTCATTAAACCGCTTTTTTTTTTAATTACCCAGTCTCAGCTATGTCTTTATCAGCAGCATGAAAATGGACTAATACAGCAGCAAAAAGTTAGCTTATACTAGGACAAAAATTCTATATTGATCCAAATGTTGGGCATGAAAATGCAAGGGTGGGAACATTGTATGTTTCTCCTGGTCCAGATATGAAAACCAAGGAAAATAGCTAATATTTCTGAGTACTTACTCAGCATCAAGCACTGTTCCAGATGTGCTAAATATATTTTATTTTCACTGTAACAACACCCTTACCTTAGTATGTTCATTTCTACTGATAAAGAAATTGAGGAATGGTATAGAGAAAATAAGTAATTCAGGTCATGCAGCAGATAGAGCCTGGCCCTCAAAAGTAACCACAGCAATATTGAGACTGTGCCCCTTCAGCTTTCTTTGTATAGTGCTAAGCACAAGACTATGTACAGATTATTTTGTGCTCAATAAATATTTATCAGAAGCAGCATATGGCTTACCTCGTCTCTATCTGTAATGAGAAAACATACAAGTGAGCATAATAAGATTAAACCACAAAAACCACTAAGGTGAGAAGTGGATATTCAACTATAGTCCTGCCATGGAAGTTAGGAAGGTGGCAGACAATGGGATATAAAATAATACAGCAGAGAAAGTAATGATCAAGCTGTATAAAATGTATTCTGAGCAATAGGTGACACATTTTCATGGTGCATTCACTCTAAGCATTCTTTCCTTTCCACCAGAATCCAGCATCAGGGTCAGCTTCATGATGTACAACTTGTGCAGACACACAGGGCCCATGTATAGAAGGGCCCTGTTCTTGGTTTAATGCCCTGCTCTCAATGTCCTGAAAGTTTTAATAATTTTTGAACAGGCTGGACGCTGTGGCTTATCCCTGTAATCCCACCACTTTGGGAGGCCAAGGCGGGCAGATCACAAGGTCAGGAGATCGAGACCACCCTGGCTAACACGGTGAAACCCTGTCTCTACTAAAAATACAAAAAATTAGCCAGGTGTGGTGGCGGGTGCCTGTAGTCCCAGCTACTCGGGCAGCTGAGGCAGGAGAATGAGTGACTCCGGGAGGTGGAGCTTGCAGTGAGCCGAGCTGGTGCCACTGCACTCCAGCCTGGGCGACAGAGTGAGACTCCATCTCATAATAATAATAATAATAATAATAGTAATAATAATAATAATAATTTTTGAACAAAAAAACACCACATCTTCATTTTACACTTAGTCCCTTAAATCATGTAGCTTGGTCATGATCAGGAGATTCTGCAAAACCTCTCATCGCACAGCAATATATAAAGGAGATATTTTATAATAGGCAACTACTATATTTGCCTATTATATACACAATACAGTCACCATATTTGCAAAAATGGAGCAAGTTGCTTGAATATCTGCAATCATAAATAAAAAGAGAATTTTTAGACTTACAGAAATGTAGACAGAGACTTAGAAGTCCTTGCAATCAGCATATCAGTCTTAAATCAAGGGAGTGACAAGGCTGACATGAAGCAGATTAGATCAGCAGGTATTGGCCCAGCATGGAAGACAAAACTGAATCAATGGACAACAGTGAACAAGGACAGTAAGAAAAGAGACATGGATGAAAATTAGAAGGAAAATACCCTTAGCAGTATTGGCAGAGTGTTTTTTTCCCAAAACTCTCTAGAAAAATGAATTGGTAATAAATATCAGGGGGACATAAATTTATGTGGATATCATTTGTGATGATGTTTATGCATAAGTGAACTGCTTGGTAATCTCTATATAATTAATTTCATGATGTGAGTTCAGTCATTTTCGATTAATCATTTTGATGTCTTTGTAAACTATTGAGTTAGAGGAACCCCTCCAGAATTGTTAATCAAAGGAAAGTAACTGGATATTTGTGCTTAAATTCTAATTGCTCACAGGGAACATATGAGGTAAGCAGACCATAATAATGGTCCTATGAAGACTCTTTCCCCATTTAAGTGAGCTAGCTGCTTAGAAGATAGCACCTGGAAGAAACAGGTGTTCATAATAAATGGCTAATATTTCAATATTTTATGTACATTCTTTTTAATCCCTTTAAAAACTCTTTGAGGCAGATGCTATTTTGATCCCCACTTTATTGATGGGGAAACTAAGGTACAGAGGGGTTAAGTTTATCCTTAACATCATATAATTAAGCCATATTTGAATCAAACAGCAAACAGATAGACACATTAAAGAAAACAAATACAATCTCTATCATCTGAGAGATATACCTCTAGACTTCTATCCAGGAGTATAATTCTGGTGCAGTGCTCTGACATATGCTTTATACTACATTGTTTGCTCTTTTGTTTGCCTTGTAACTAGAACTTATCATCCTGGTCCTCCCAAACACCTGTGAACTATTTCATTCATTTTACAAAGTATCTTTTTCCCACTGAATTGGGATATTCATATACCAAATACAGTTGTCCTTCAGTATATGTGTTGGATTCGTTCCAGGACTGCTCATATGTATCAAAATCCAGGTATACTCAAGTCTCACTGTCAGCTCTACTGGGACTCAAGTATAGGTATATATGGAAAGATGGCCCTCCATATGGGGTTTTGCATCCTGAAAAGGCTATATTTTTTATTAATGTTTGGTTGAATAAAATTCATGTATAAGTGGACCCACACAATTCAAACCCATGTTGTTTAAGCATCAACTGTTAGTTATGTATATATATATGCATATATACACACACATATATATACTCATATATGTGTGCATACATATGTGACAAGCACAGCCTTTAACCCACACTCACATACAAAAACTAATTGTAAAATAGACCATGATCTAAATATAAAATCTAAAACTATAAAACAGAAGCCTGGACCACCACAGTATCTTCAAAATGGACTTTAAGAAAATTCATTGAACTCTAACCCTAAATAAAATACTTTTTCCATCCCCTTTGTCAAATTTAGCTTTTTAAAATGATGTGATTAAAAGAGAATAGGTTTCAAAGTTCAGCCTAAAAAATAATAGAAGAAAATAATAAGAATTTCACTACGCTTTCTGCTTAAAAATGACTTTGTTAATACATTATCTCAGATCAAAACAAACCAAAGCACCAGAGGATCAGACATGGTTTAGGATTAAGTCCTTAGAAATATTCTTTTCCTTTGAATACAGAACATCTCTAAGAAATTTCATAACACTTGACCGACACTGACACAACTCAGCACAACAAGCTCTGCAATGGTGCAAAAGCGATACACATTCAGTAGAAACCATACTTCTAGTACCCATATAAACATTCTGTTTTTCACTTGCAGTATAATATTCAATAAATTATATGAGATATTTAGCACATTATTATTATAAAGTAGGCTTTGTGTAAGATGATTTTATTCAACTGTAGGCTAATATAAGTGTTCTAAGCATGTTTGGGGTAGGCTAGACCAAGCTATGATATTCAGTAGGTTAGATGTATTAAGTGCCTATTGAGACATAACTCCATTATAAGTCAAGGAGCATTTGTATATTCGTTTGCTAGGGACTTCATAACAAAATAATACATACTTGGTGGCTTAAACAAACAACAGAAATTTATTTTTTTTCACAGCTCTAGAGGCTAAGAGTCCAAGATCAAGGTGTTGTCAGAGTTGGCTTTCTCTGAGGCCTCTCTCCACTGGGCTTGCAGATGGCTTCCCTCTTGCTGCCTCTTCACATGCAAACACCTTTTTGGTGTATCTTTTTTCCCTGTTTTCTAATATTTTTTTACTGACATATAATAGTGGTACATATTTGGAGGGTACATGTGATATGTTTATGACTATATACAATGCGCAATGATCAAGTCAGGTTGATGAGGATATCCATCACCTCAAACAGTTTTCTATGTGTTAGGACAATTTTTCTCTTCTGGCTATTTTGAAACATACAATATATTATTGTTAACTATAATTTTTCTACTCTACCATCGAATACTACAACATATCCCTTTTATCTAACTGTATTTTGTACCTCTTAACCAATTTCTCTTCATCCTCCTCATCCTCCTTTTCCCAGCCTCTGGTAATCACCATTCTACTCTACCTCCATGAGATTTACTTTTTTAGGTTCCCACGTATGAGTGAGAACACATGATATTTGTCTTTCTGTGCTTGGCTTATTTCACTTAACACAATGTCCCCCAGTTCCTTCTATGTTGCTAAAACATCAGGATTTCATTCTTCGTTATGGTTGAATAGTAGCCCACTGTGTATATGTACCACATTTTCATTATCCATTCATCCACTGATGGACATTTAGGTTGATTCCATATCTTGGCTATTAGAAACAGTGCTGCAAAAAACATGTGAGTGCAGATATCTCTTTGACACACTGATCTGCTTTCTTTTAGATATATACCCAGAGTGGGATTGTTAGACACCAGTCAACTGGATTAGAGCCTACCCTAAAGGCCTCATTTTAACTTAATCGTCTCTTTAGTGCCTTATCTCCAAATACAGTCACATTCTGAGGTACTAGGGGTTAAGGCTTCAACATATGAATCTGGGGGGAATGCAATTAAGTTCATAATAATTGGAAAGAAGACACACCCAGGGAGTGAGACAAAAGCAGCCAATGGTGAGAAAATGCCAAAGCCAGGCTTGGTGTCCTTCCCAACCCAGCTGTGAGGTGACCTGCCTCTTTCTTTCCTCTCAGCTTTCTTCCTGCAGAGAGACTGAAAAAAGATCCTTGGTCTCATCTTCCAACCCTGAAGAGTGTGGAGATGTTAAAGCAAGGTAGAGAATGAGAGAAGAGCATAGGAACCAGCTGTATTGAAAATCTCCAGAATGCTGGGGTTGAGAGAAAGTTCTAACTGCGGCATAGAAAGTAGCCCTTTATCTCTTGACCCTTCAATCTTTCTTTATGACACATCATAGAGAAGCTCTCTCTTGCTTTTTATTCCTCACCAGCTGGCTTTGGGGTCTTCTAGAGTTGTTCAAGAAGGGAGGCCATGCATGGAGATAGAAATTATGTAATGCTGAACAACCCACAGCTCCACAGACTTAGTACACATCAGTACCCTCTTTCCTAGTAGCTTATCCTATAGAACAAACATCATTCCTTAATTTTCAGCATAAACTATTCAGAATTTACATTGCTTTGGATTCCAAACTAGCCGAATTGAAAAATGTGTTGTCAGCCAGGTGCAGTGGCTCATGCCTGTAATCCCAGAACTTTGGGAGGCCGAGGTGGGAGGATCACTTGAGCCCAGGAGTTGGAGACCAGACTGGCTAACATGGTGAAACCCCAGCTCTACTAAAAATACACAAACTAGCTGGAAATGATGGGGCATGCCTACAATCCCAGTTACTCAGGTGGCTGAAGCACAAGAATCAGTTGACCCCAAAAGGCGGAGGTTGCAGTGAGCCGAGATCATGCCACTGCACTCCGTCCTGGATGACACAGCAAAACCTTGCCTCAAAAAAAAAGAAAGAAAGAAAGAAAGAAAAGGAAATGAAAAGAAAAATGTGCTGTACTGATAGCAGTAAAGGCATTGGATAAATATTACAGTAAAAAAAAAAAATGGGTAGCGCACACTTTAAATAGATGTATTTCAGGATAAGGATATATTTCCCCTGGAAAAGTTTGCCACCTTCTGCTGTCCTATGATATTCATATCAGGTAAAATGGAATTATTACAGCACCTCAAAATTACCAATAACCATTTTTTTTCCTAGTGAAAATTTATTGGAGCATAGTTTTCTAATTACAGCAATTTGCTACTAACGTTTAAAATGATTTCATGTATAAAATCCATAAAATTGAAGAGAAATCTATCCCTTACTCATGCAAAATGTTATGGTCCGTTTTTCAAAGTGAGTGTTAATTTGTGGCGGTGTAATTAGACGTGTGTAGTAGATGATCCATGCAGGTGAATTGTTTGACTTTCAGTGAATAATTTTGTGTCAAATTCTCTTACTCTTAAATGGTTCATATTTATTTTTTGAGAGTACCAGATCTCTTCTGGCTCATTTTACACACTTTGTGTCTGACTCCCGGGAATTTCCTGTTGTAAGGTATTTATACCATGATTTACAGCTGCAACAAGCTGAGAAGTCTGAGGCAAGCAGTCACTGTATTTCATGACCACATAACAAAGTTGTTTTGCACTCAGAAAATAGTCAGTAGAATTTCATTGAGTTTTGTAACTTATAGCCAAATCCAAGTGACACAATTCCACCAAAAGAAAATTATTTCTGATTTTCTCTCTCCTCATCTGTATTGCCAGTATCATGACCCAATTTGGGTGTTCCTTAAAACCCAGTCCTGAGTTATTGCGATACCTTCTTAACACATTTCCTTAGTTCAAAGTCTACACAATCCCTGCAGTAATTTGTTTTGTATCCACCACTAGGCTAATCCTGTTATAGCATTGGCTGCTGCCACCAGACTACTTCCCACCTCCTACTATGTCTTCTCGAAAATATCCCCAGTCAATGTTAAGATAGAACACAGACTTTAGATTCTGTATTCAAGGCCCTCTAAAAACTGTTTTAACATTCCAGTTGCCCAACACAAACCATATTATTAGTCAGATCTATCTCTATATGGGCATCCTCATGTATGGTATTTATAATCATGCTTGTCCTCATCTTCCGGCCAACCTAGAAAATTCTCTTATCCTCCTTCCTATCCTACACTTTTTTATTTCACATCTCATCTTCTAAATAAAGCTTCTGATAACCATTCCAGGTTACGATGATCTCACCAAGCCCTAATTTCTCACTTCCTTTATTTTCTGAATTAAGCAAACCACCTAAATGTAAACATAAATGCATCTAATGTAATGCTATATGTAAATATTATATGTAAATGCATCTCTCTAACAAACTACATGTGCTTCAAAGGAAGAAAATCACTTTGTTCCTCATTTGATTTCTCCTACATGCTTCACATATTATCAGGCACATGGTAGAGATATAGATGTAGATATACATATATTATATAAATATATGTATATAAATAAGACAAGCACTTATTTAATTCAATTTATCATATTAATTAATACATTTTTTCATTATGTTGATATTAATCCATAAGATTCATTCAGGAGTATGATCACTTATTCACTCTGTGATTTTTGAGCAAGTTGCTTAACCTCCCTATGATTAGTTTTCTCATATGTAAAATGAAAACGATAATAGTACTTTCCTTATTTCGATTTATTGTGAGCATTGAATAAATAATAGTTTAGCACAATACCTAGCACATAGAAAGCACTCAGTGTTTTACCACCACACCCTCTTCCTCCTTCCCATCCTCCTCCTCTAGCTGCTGCTGCTCCTGTTTCTTCATCTACTCAGATAGATCAGTTCATTCATCCACTCATACTTTCATTTATTCCATCAGTAAGTCAGTCAACAAATATTTGTCTTCTGTGTAGCCCACGTAGCTTATTTCTAATGCAGTCATTTTCAAACTTTGCACTTCAGAGCCCTGCTATGGCTATCACAGAAGAAGTTGGGCGACAAGAAAACATAACTCCAAGCCACCTTAGCCCTAAGTCAACCAGAGCAACAAAGCTTTCATTTGTACTACAAAAGAACAACAGCTGAACAAGTCTGAAAACCAATATTTTAATGCATAAATTTCACCACCAATGTTATTGCTCTCATAAGTTCTGTAGCTCCCAAGCTTGCTGTTTTTCTACTACCCATTCTTTTATAAATAGTCTTCCCCAAAACTCAATGCAAAGGCTTAAATAAAATTAAGGACTAGAGCTTTCCTCCCCAAAAAGGTTTCCTCACATTTTTCTACCATGTTTCATTCCGGGTTTCGTAATCAGTTCTATAATAATGGTAAAATACATACAGTGCAGGGGTACAAAAACTAATCACTGAAAAGCAGAATTCAGTAAGATTAAGTCATTTTCCAGCCCAATTATTAAACAAATATTTATAGAGTGCTCACTGCACGCCAGGGATTCTTCTCAAAACCAGTCTGAATCATAAATATTAGAAAATATATTATTCCAGCAATATTTCCCATCCTCCTTTAATTAATGTGTTCTTTGAACAAATATGGAAATATCTCTCTTCAATATTATTTGGAAATTAAACATACAGCAAATATTTTGACAGAATAAAAATCATAAAATAATCATTTTAATACATATTATTTTATACTTTCAATGTGTGCAGTTGGTTTGCCTACCACAAATTCTTTCTCCAGCTCTTGTGTAAGATAGGCTGCAGGTAAATTTCTGCCCCAAACTTGTTGCTTTGCTTTGCTTTCATAGCCAAAAATTCAGAAAACCACACTTAAAATAAGCATGCAATTACAACACAAAATTTGTATTTCAAACTGTACAGTGCTCTCGCCCTGAATCTAGGCACCCACTTGTTATGTGTACCAAGGAAAGGCAATGATTAATAAACAAAGTAAGTATTCTTAATATGTTATATAATGCTCGATTAATGATATAAATATAGCTTTAATTTCCCCCATTGTGTTACTTTTTAAAGGTCTCCTTTCTATAATAGATCATATCATAAATGTTTTGAAGGAGTCATTTAATTAATTCCCTCCCTGAAAACAGCAAGCCTAATGCTAATACTACCCAGGAATTCAGTTATCTCTGCTTTTAATTAAATTTTTCACCATTTTTAGCTCATATCTATTTGATTAATGACAAAAACTACACCTATTTTTATTTATATTGGATGAAAGACAAAAGATAAAGATGTCTTTTTCATCAACTTAAATAAAAATAGAATTATATAAGCAATTAACCAATAGTCTCCCATCTTTGAATGAGGTCTTAACATGAAAAGCACCTTCCTTACTATTAAAACAAGAAATTATTTTCACAAGAACAGTGAAATTTGCAGTGAAGGCTCACTGATGTCATTACCCTCAGAATCCTCAGATTTTATGACTCTGCTTTCCACTCTTCTCTCCATGTGTACTAATTGGAGTTTGTGACTTTGGAGTACTAATGGCACAACTGCAGATATAACAGGCAGTAACCAACAAACCATTATCTCATGTTATACACCTAACAAGGATTTTGGGGTTTGGGTTTGATTTTGTTTTGTTTGTTTTCTTGTTTTGTTTTGTTTTGTTTTCTGTCTGCCTTCTTGGTTTTTCATTGGCTGTTTCCTGGGAACTGAGAGCAAGGGATAAGGCAAACAAAAAAAAAGAATAAGAACAAGGTTCTTCCAGGGCCGGGCAAGTTGGCTCACGCCTGTAATCCCAGCACTTCTCAAGGTCGAGGCCAGTAGACTGCATGAAGCCAGGAATTCGAGACCAGCCTGGCCAACATGGTGAAACCCCATCTCTACTGAAAATACGATAATTAGCCAGGAGTGGTGGCACACGCCCGTAATCCCAGCTACTCGGAAAGCTGAGGCACAAGAATTCACTTGAACCCAGGAGGCAGAGGCTGCAGTAAGCAGAGACTGCCCCACTGCACTCCAGCCTGGGCAACAAAGGAAGTGAGACTCCGTCTCAAAACAAAACAAAAGAAAAAAAAAAAAGAAAGTTCTTCCGATACAGCATCAGCAGATGATGTTATGAAGACTGCTAACGTTCTCTTGTTTTATAGAACTGTATTAATAATTTTTTTCTATCAGATTTTTTTTTCTATCCGTTAAAGAAATCAGAATCTGTCAGCTGCCAAAACCAATAGTCATGCCCTACTATGTTTCTTCCATCCAAGGACCTCAATTTATAGGCAGTAGAAACAGATTTATTTCACACTCCAGCAACCAGATTAGTAACTGGGTAGACAGCAGTAGTAGAAGCTGTGGGACCTGAATTATAAGTGGAACTATTTGGTGAGAGCTTCTCTTTTAGTATTAAAACTGTGCCATCCCTGAATTTCTATAACTCTGTGTCTCTCAATTCTCCTTCTTCAGCTCAAACTCCTTATCTTTTGTCATCTCTGCCACTTTCCTTCCTCCTTCCAACCCATGGATGTTCCTGTCTGAAATTCAGTTTAAGGACTTTGAGATATTCTTCTTGAATTTAATTTTTTATTTTTAGTTTTTATGATATTCTTGACCTAGTCCCCTTTTGCCTCATAGAGTGAGGCTTCAAATCCTGTCTAATTTTAAACTGTTTCTTTCTTTCTGTTCCCATTAACACTCTGCTCATGAGCTTGTGACATCCTGTCTATACTCTGACAGTTTCTGAAGTCAAATGAAAAACCACATGCTAAGCACATATCACAAGGACCAGCACATAACAGATGCTTAATAAATCTAGTTCCTATCCTTCCTCATCTTCCAACTGGTTTCCTTGATGTCAGCCCGCTCCTCAGCAACAGTTCTTACACATTAACACAGTTTTTGCACACATTACTTTCCACTTGTAAACTTTCAGTTTACCTTCTATCTCTCCTGATGTGTGACATCACACATCTTAAAAAAAAATTACTCTTAATCCTACCAGATCTCCTTAGTATTTGCCAAATGGCCATTCACATTTCCACTCTTCTTTCCATGCACACTTCAGTCCCTTTTCCTGCTGTCCACTAATATATCTAACTCTTCCTTTAAAGTGTATCTTAAATCCCATATGCTCTAACTACTTCCACCTTTTCTGAGTTCTTTTGGCATTTACAGATATTTACAATCATTAGGATGTGAAAAGCTGTTTGAAATCCCATCTATTTGTAAGGTCAAACAGACCTTACAACAAGGTCCATCAACACTGGCTGTTGTTGGCATGCTTTGCTTTAGCCAATAGCATTGCTCATATCAACAATATTTTCAACTTTAAAAATTTCCTAAGTAGAACTGCTTCTGTAACATAAGCTTCAATCAATCAATCTATATATATACATATATAACATATAATTTTGTAGTACTATCTTTTAGCAAATGTTTACTCCATCTAGCACATGAGTGGCTTTGAGGCTTGTATAACCTTAAACATGTTTGTTTCCTACTTCCCTAGCATAATAACAATCTCAGTCAATATTTGTTGATTATAATAAAAAGAAAATGAAAATCTTTTCCCACTCACATCACAGAAATACTCTTGTGAAAATACAATATATTTAAAGCACCATGAGCTCCTTTCTCTGAGATATTTATACTGGAAGAAAATATGGTGTTTTTTGTTTTTACTCTTTTTGCAGTATTGGATTCTGAGGAAAAAGAATAACAATACAAACCTGTCATTTCTCAAAGAAAAATGTGTGTATTTACAACCTGTTAAATATGGATTTCTGGACTCTGAAGCAATTAATTATTTGTATAATTATCTGGGAAAGATAAAATCAGATTCATTAGCCGAAAAAATTGTGACATGCCAGCACTAGGTCAGTTTTAGGAATGGAGCTTGAAATACATATTGATGTGTCTGCACAGAGCACAAAGGAATATTGCCTCTAGTTCAGAGCAAACAGTGAATTGTCAGTTAAGCTGGCACGGGGCAGTCTCTAGGACAATGTTAAAGGAGAGACTTACAACATTCTTATAGAAATTCTAAAAATGAGATACTCTTAGAATCTAAAATAGAGCTGTTATATTAAAGTCCATCCTATACAAATTTGTGTTCTTGTGAAGCCCAAAGTGCCTTCATGTTGAACAAAATACTAAATTCAAGATTCATATGCATAAGGGATTTAGATAAGAAAAACAGGTCTCAAAGAACTTAAGAAATCAAGATAGAAAGTACATAGATAAGGTGTCATCAAATTATTAACACACAAATGATAGGAATTATATGACCACAGATCCATATTTTAAACAGCATTATTATATAGAAAGTAGAAGAGTTTTAGACCAGAGACTTACAGTCCAGAAGTAGTTTATTCATCTTTTACTTTGTCATCTTCTCTCAGCAAGTCAAAATTCTCATCTATAAAATGGTAGTACAAATACCCATCCCTTTTTCCCCATAATAGGTTGTCATGAAGAAAAATAAAACAGTGTTTTCAAATGTAATTTGATTTCTTTGAGGAATTTGCACACATAAATCCAATTACACATAGTTGTAAATTTGTTATTCACTTTTTCCTCAAGCTACTAATTGCCCCAAAACAGCTAAGCAAAGCAGCTCAGTTAGGAAACAGCCGACTTTTCTGCTTTTTGATCTGTTTCTGACCTAACTGAGCCAGGCTGGTACATTACTGTTGATAATGGCACATTTTAACAAATTTTATTTAAATACATCAGGAACCCATCACTTCCCAATTTGGATTTGAAAATAACTGCTGGAACAGAGAGCTTGGATAATTTGAACACCTGAGCTTCTACATTAGCTAGAGTAAAAGACAGTCAAGTAAATATATAAACCAAACGCTACCCAGTTTGTACATCTAACCATCACAAAGTCTGTTTTCTATTATGTACCAATGCGGGAGTATCAGGATATCTTCACTAAGCCTAAACTATGAATAGATTGCTTTTTGTGCCATACTGTGTACATGTATCTATTTGTGTCTATAAATATGAGGGAGAAGTTTTAATCTTTGAGCTGAAGAAGAAAGGGGACATGTTGTTGTTGTTTATGGTGATGGTATAAGTACGACAATGATACTTGTGAAAGGAGTATTCATAAAGGCAGTGAAAGGGATAGATGTTGTGTTGTCCCCTTCATTGAACTGATTAACCAGTTTTAAACCTCTGAAAATGAAGGGTTAAGGGAAAAATCTTACAGTTAACATCAAAAATGTGATGAGGCTCTAAGCTTATACAGTGCTGCTTTGAGGTCCAGTGGAGAATTAAAAGGGGGAAACAGCAGAAAGTACCTGTCACCCAGAAGACTCCAGTATCACAGGTAGTGATAGAGGAATAAGCCAATAATTCAGGAATAGTCACGAGCACATGAGAAGTCTTCTTCCAGGGCACATGGGATTCCGTCATGCTAGAGGCATCTGACCTCACCCAGGGAAACAACATTTGACAGTAGACTGAAGCCACACAAAATGGTTTGGATATTGGAGCAATTGAGATATAGCTGTTAATGTTAATGGTATCATATATGTTCTCACAGGGTTGTGAAACCAGTTACATATACCCAACTTATTTATATTTGCAAACTGTATCTATTTCAATATATCATCTCATATTTATTCAGCAACAATTCAATTACCCATTTCAAGAGTAAATTATATATACCATCTTATATATAATCTAAATCCCTTAGCTGAAATGAAATTCTTTTTCTGCTTCAAAACCTCACAGATCTTTTGAGTATTGAACTGTATGCAAATATAATGGCCACTGTGGATAGTTAATATTTTAAATAAATAAGTCACCTTTATAAATACCAAAGTGTTATTAACCATTTTTGAGTCTAGGAACAATATAAGAAAAGGTTGTTAGTGTTAAGGAATGTTTGAGTTATAAGAGATTCTTGCTATTGTAGAATTGATCATCCTTTATAATCCTCCAGCAACTGAAGCCTTTCCTGCATGTGTGGATTTCCCCAGCCACAAAAGCTGAAAATGCCAAACATTCACCACCCTGCTTTCTTTATAATTAGGGCCTGGGCATAAGACATAGGCTCTGCTAATCAGACTTGGTAGTACTAAATTTTTACTAGCAAGAAGATGGCAAAAAAAGTAGAGACCAAAGAAATGTTCTCTGGTGGCTCTACCAGCTCCTGCAAACTGAAGCCCTGCTCAGCTTTGTTAGGGGTTCCTGCAGCTGATATTCCCATTTGGGGTAATAGTGGCTGTGTTTTTCCACCAGACCACTTTTTCCTGTCCGTGTGAATCTGCCCCCAAATTTTCTACCCACTTGGAGCATCTGTGAACGTCCCAATATGCTTTTTTTTTTTTTTTTTTTGAGATGGAGTTTTGCTCTTGTCGCCCAGGCTAAAGTGCCATGGCATGATCTCGGCTCACTGCAATCTCTGCCTCCCGGGTTCAAGTGATTCTCCTGCCTCAGCGTCTCAAGTAGCTGAGATTACAGACACTCCACACCATGCCCAGCTAATTATTGTATTTTTAGTAGAGACTGGGTTTCACCATGTTGGCCAGGCTGGTCTTGAACTCCTGTCCTCAGATGATCCACCCACCTTGGCATCCGAAAGTGCTGGGATTACAGGCTCCAATATGCTTTTAATAAATCCCTTTTCTGTAACTTGTGACATTGAACTCTGATTAATAAACTTGGGTTTGGAAGAGTGATCTTAGTACTTTAAAAAATGTTAAACTATTATTTATCAAAATGGGCATGCTCTTCTATCCTTTATTAAAATCTCTGCCAAAAGTCACCTTATCAGAGAAGCCTTTTCTGACCAACCTTTCTAAAATGCACTCCCTACCAATTGCACCCCCTCGTCCACTGCTGGATTTTCGTTAATATTATTTGTCTCTGACCTGATATTATTTTATTATGATATTTTCTCACTGATACATAAGACCCATGAGAGCACAGACTTGGTATGAGACAGTTTTCTATGAGTTCCTCCACTGCAGCTTTTTTCCTAAATTCATTATAATTTTTATTTCAATAGGTTTTTGGGGAACAGTAGGTGTTTGGTTACATGAATATGTTCTTCAGTGGTGATTTCTGAGATTTTGGTGCATTTATTACCCTAGCAGTGAACACTGTACCCAATGTGTAGTCTTTTATCCCTCACCCACCCCACATCCGTTCTCAAAGTCCCCAAAGTCCATCGTATCATTCTTATGCCTTTGCATCTTCATAGTTTAGCTCCCACTTATAAGTGAGAACATACAATGTTTGGTTTTCCATTCCTGAGTTACTTCACTTAGAATAATAGTCTCCAATTCCATCCAGGTTGCTGCTAATGCCATTATTTCATTCCTTTTTTATCGCTGACTAGTATTCTACAGTATATATCACAATTTATTTATCCACATATTGATTGATGGACATTTGGGCCGGTTCCATATTTTTGCAATTGTGAATTCTGCTGCATAAACATGTGTGTGCAAGTATCTTTTTCATATGACTTCTTTTTCTCTGGGTAGAGGGTAGTTCTACTTTTAGATCTTTAAGGAATCTCCACACTGTTTTCCATAGTGGTTGTACTAGTTTACATTCCCACCACGTTAAAAATGTTCCCTTTTCACCACATCCATGCCAACACCTATTATTCTTTGCATTTTTTTATTATGGCCATTCTTCCAGGAGTAAGGTGGTATCACACTGCAGTTTTGATTTGCATTCCCCTGATCATTAGTGGTGTTGAACATTTTTTCATCTGTTTGTTGGCCATTTGTATATCTTCTTTTGAGAAATGTCTATTCATGTCCTTAGCCCACTTTTTGATGGGATTGTTTGTTTTTTTCTTGCTGATTTGAGTTCCTTGTAGATTCTGGATGTTAGCTCTTTGTCGGATGTATAGATCGCAAAGATTTTCTCCCATTTTGTGGGTTGTCTGTTTACCCTCTGGATTGTTTCTTTTGCCGTGCAAAAACTTAAACTTGCACGGCAAAAGAAACAATCTGCAGGAAAAACAGACAATCACAAAATTTTGCTGTGCTTAATTTAGTTTAATTAAGTCCCCAGCTATTCATCTTTGTTTTTGTTGCATTTGCTTTTGGATTCTTGGTCATGAAATCCTTGCCTAAGCCAATGTCTAGAAGGGATTTTTCTGATGTTATCTTCTAGAATTTTTATGGTTTCAGGTCTTCGATTTAAGTCCTTGATTCATTTTGAGTCAATTTTTGTATAAGGTGAGGGATGAGGATCCAGTTTCATTTTTCCACATGTAGCTTGTTAATTATTGTAGCACCATTTGTTGTTGAATAGGGTGTCCCTTCCCCAGTTTATGTTTTTCTTTGCTTTATCAAAGATCAGTTGGCTATAAGTATTTGGCTTCATTTCTGGGTTCTCCATTCTGTTCCATTGGTCTTCATGCCTATTTTTACACCAGGATCAGCTGTTTTGGTGACTATGGCCTCCAGATTGGTTCTTTTTGCTTAATCTTTCTTTGGCTATGCAGGCTCTTTTTTGGTTCCATGTGAATTTTAGGGGTTTTTTTTTCTAGTTCTGTGAAGAATGGTGATAGTATTTTGATGGGAATTGCTTTGATTTTTTAGATTGCTTTTAGCAGTATGGCCATTTTCACAATATTGATTCTACCCATCCATGGGCATGGGATATATTTCTATTTGTTTGTGTTGTCTATGATTTCTTTTAGCAGTGTTTTGTAGTTTTCCTTCTAGAGGTCTTTCATCTCCTTGGTTAGGTATATTCCTAAGTATTTTATTATATGCAGCTATTATAAAAGGAGTTGAGTTCTTGATTTGATCCTTAGCTTGGTCACTGTTGGTATATAACAGAGTTACTGATTTGTATACATTAATCTTGTATCCTGAAACTTTGCTGAATGAAATCAACATGGAAATTTAAAACTTCTTCGAACTGAATGATAACAGTGACACAACCTATCAAAATCTCTGGGATACAGCAAAGGAGTGCTAAGAGGAAAGTTCATAGCCCTAAATGCCTATATCAGAAAGTCTGAAAGAGCACAAACAGACAATCTAAGGTCACACCTCAAGGAACTAGAGAAACAAGAACATACCAAACCTAAATCAGCAGAAGAAAAGAAATGACAAAGATCAGAGAAGAATTAAATGAAACAAAAAAATACAAAAGATAAATGAAACAAAAAGCTGGTTCTTTGAAAAGATAAATAAGATTGATTAGCCCATTAGTGATATTAACCAAGAAAAGAAAAGAAAAGAGAAGATCCAAATAAGTTCAATTAGAAACGAAATGGGAGATATTACAACCCATACTATGGAAATACAAAAGACCAGTCAAGGCTACTATGAATACCTTTACATGCATAAGCTAGAAAGCCTAGAGGAGATGGATAAATTCCTGGAAATATACAACCCTCCTAGATTAAACTAGGAAGAAATAGAAACTCTGAATCAACCAATAACAAGCAGTGAGATTGAAATGGTAATTTAAAACTTGCCCTCAAAAAAAGTCCAGGACCAGACAGATTCACAGCTGAATTATATTATATGAGACATTCAAAGAAGAATTGGTACCAATCCTATTGATACTATTCCACAAGATAGAGAAAGGGGGAATCCTCCCTAAATCATTCTATGAAGCCAATATCACACTAATACCAAATCCAGGAAAGGACATAACAAAAAAAAAAATGAAAACTACAGACCAATATCCCTGATGAATATAGATGCAAAAATCCATAACAAAATACTAGCTAACCAAATCCAACAGCATGTCAAAAAGGTAATCCACCATGATCAAGTGGGTTTCATACAAGGGATACAAGGATGGTTGAACATAATACAAGTCAATAAATGTGATACACCACACAAACAGAATTAAAAACAAAAATCACATGATCATCTCAATAGATGCAGAAAAATCTAGCATCACTTTATGGTTAAAACACTCAGCAAAATTGGCATAGACAGGACATATTTCAATGTAGTAAAAGCCCTCTATGACAAAACCACAGCCAACATTACACTGAACAAGGAAAAGTTAAAAGCATTCCACTTGAGAAATGCAACAAGACAAGGATGCCCACTCTCACCACTTCTATTCAACATAGTAGTGGAAGTCCTGGCCAGAGCAATCAGACAAGGGAAAAAAATAAAGGGCACCCAAATCAGTAAAGAGGAAGTCAAACTGTTGCTGTTTGCTGATGATATGATCATATACCTTGGAAACTCTAAAGACGCCTCCAAAAAGCTCCTAAATTTATTATTTTAAGTTGATGGATAACATTGTATGTTTTATCATGTGTAACATGATGTTTTGATATATGTACACATTACGAAATAGCAAAGTCTAGCTAATCAACAAATACATTACCTCATGTAGTTATTGTCGTGGCAAGCGCACATAACATCCACTCTCTATGTTTTTTAAGAACACTATAGATTGTCACTAACTGTAGTAACCTTGCAGTATAATAGATCCCCTGAACTTTATTCCTACTATCTAACTATAACCCTGTATCGCTTGATCAACATCTCCATACTCCCCCTCTCAGTAACTAACCTGCCTCTGATAACTACCATTCTACTCTATATTTCTATAAAATCAAGATTTTTAGATTATACATATGAGTGAGATCCTGTGGTATCTGTCCATCTGTGCCTGACTTATCTCACTTCACATAATAATTAAAGAAATTGAGGAAGACACAAATAAATGTAAAAATATCACATGTTCATGAATTAGAAGAATTAATATTGTTAAAATGTTCATACAACCCAAACTGATCTACAAATTCAGTGCCATTTCTATCAAAATACCATTCACATTCTTCACAGAAGCATTAAAAACAAAGAACAAGTCTACAACGTGTATGGAACCGCAAGAGACCCTAAATAGCCAAAACAATCTTGAGCAAGAAGAGCAAAGCTAGAAGCATCACACTATCTGACTTCAAAATATAATACAAAGCTATAGTAACCAAAACAGCATGGTACTGTCATAAAAATAGGCCAATAGAACAGTACAGCTTTTAAAAAATTATTTATAATTAGAGCTTGTAGGAAAATGAGACAATTACATTTGAATATACTGCATGGCCCCCTACTTATATCAAGTAGCTGTTGTAATTTGTAATTTCTTTGAAAACCAACACGAGATGTACTATGGGAAATTAAACATTATGGAAGCAATTTGACATAATTATAAGAGCAGAAAATTTAATGACAATGCACTGCTGGAACATGGAATATTAGTATATAAACTTATCCATCTTTTTAAAAGGACAATATAAGTCCTTGCCTTTCTCCTCCATTATTCTGGTGCCATTTTTAAATGTACATAATTCAATTTAAGCTGAATTACTAAAGCAAAAATACCACTGCTAGCATCTTGTGTTAAAAGTTTTTTAGGTTATTTCACATATTAAAGAATATTAGTGGTGGCCCAATAGTTTTAGTGAAGAAAAGTTTTCATCCCATGTAATTTCCCTGATAATAGTGTTTTGCAGTCCTACACACTGATTATCCAGTCTATTTCTTGAACCTGAAGGGCTTTATCACTGCATATTTTTCTGAGGACCTCTGATATTTTACAGAGAATTTTTAAATTGCAAAATTTTAATGGAAACTCCAAAAATCACAGGAAATGTGACACGGCCTCATCTCAAACCTTGAATACTCCTCAAGAGTCATAATCTCTAAGCCTCTTGTCACTGTCAGGTAAGTGCTTTGAAGCAGTTCAAGCAACACTAGGTGTGAAGATCCTGTATTTCAAATCAAGGTCTCAAGTTGTTCCAAGAACAGCAGCTGTAGTGGTGGAAAGAGCTCTTTGTCAGTGTTAGGAGGTCTCAGTTTAAATCCTAGCTCTTCAACTAACTAGCTTTGTGAATATGGGCCTCGGCATCTCATCCGGAAAATAGGGGAGTTGAATTTCTTCTTAATCTAAAATTCTACAAGGTTTTTATAATCTGGAGAGAAGACCAGGTGTTTGCTCTCAGAATAATAGTACCAAAACTGATTCCCGACCAGTAAATCCAAGCTAGTTGTACAGAAGAGCCTTGTCTATGTTTGGCAATTCAATGGCACTTAAACTTCAGTCACTGAATACAATCATGGTGATCAAACACAGAGCTCTTGCAGGAGGCAGGAGATGAGAAGGTGCCATCGTGTTTGGCTCATCCTTGCCAGGGGCCTGTGTGGCTATCTCCTGAATAAAAGATAATAATATTGTTGACAAAATGGAGTGAGAAAAAAGCAATGATCTGGCAAAGTTTCTGGGAGCTCTAGAGCACGTGGGACACCACACGTTCCCATGATCTCTAGCTTCCTTTCCAAGCACACTATGATTGTGTTCAGCTTGCATTTTCTTGTCACTGGTACCAAGCAGAAAGAGGGGCTAGGGGGAGATATAATACATTTGTGTTTTACCTGAATTGAAGATGGTAGGTTAAAAAATAGAGGATTTGCATTTCTCATATTAAGTTATTAAGTTCAAAAGCTTTTCTGTCCTCAGGCAAAGATCTAAATTGTGCCACTGTTGAGGGTGATAAATGGGTATGAGTACAGAAACCTCAAAAACCTTATAGGCCTCAAATATCTATGTCCACAGGCAGGTTATAGGGTCAAATATTCCAACTGACAGCTGGGGTTGGGATTACTAATTATTTTTTAAAGTCACATGATAGTCCTCAAAGCTTTCAACTAGGTATTCAAAAGAACTAAAATGTATCATTAATCTACAGGTCTTACCTTACTGGGACATTAGTGACATAAACACTTTCACCATAGTTTGTGATTTATTGCAAAGCTATCTTGAAGAAATGCATGTTAAGGGGGGAACAGTGTTGCTTTTGGCTTTTGCTTCCTATGGAGCAGTGGTTGAAAATACGGCTGTACCTAGGAATCAACCAGAGTTATTAAAAAAGAAAAAACATAACTGATGCTTCTGTCCCAGTTTTGGAGATCCCAGTTTAATTGGTCTAGGTGCTGCCTGGGTGCCTGCAAGTTCAGTGCCGTTCAGTGCTGATGTATAGCCAAGGCTGAGAACCACTGTTTATCGAGGCTGCCAGCTAAGGGGCCAGTTGGTCCTTTTTGTGATTGTTAGCTTGGATGTAGAACACCTGTTTACTGAGAAATTGGGCTGAGGCAGCAATTCATTATGTTCAGAGCACAAAATCACATTCAGTTGTTAATGGCTTTTTCACTGCACTGACCTTTGTTGGATTCAAACCAGCAATGACCTTCGCTTTCCATTGCCTGTAATTAAGGATGTCTGCAACCACCATAATCCAGTTTGGGGCTTGATTAATTCTCATAATCACCAAATGCATTTTTGCAGCTGTAGAAAAAGAAGGTCTAGGCCACTGAAATGAGATAGTTCCACAATGAGAAAAAATAAACTACAATAATGTTTAGCCTTTGTTTCATGTTTAATCGTTATTTTTTAAGTTCTTGACATTCATTAACTAGTTATTCCATACGGTGTTCCTCGGGAAGCAATGCAGAATTATTATTTGCATTTTATTCCAGTCAGTGGGACAGAAAAGTATTTTGTCAGGTCTTGGGAGTTGTAATTTTTAAATCCTTTAGTGCATGATTAAGCTTGCTGCCTCCCTTTAAAGGAAAAAGCAAAATCAGGGTTGCTGGCGGTTACTCAGAGACAGTGAAATATGCACTGATCTCAATAAATAACTTCTATCAGAGTGGACAAATTAATGATGCATTTTATGACTAGCTCATCATTATGGTCTACTTTTCATTGCAGGGTCCACGAGTAATCACCAAGGGATTTTTGAAAACTCTATGTTCAGGATAAAAATCCAGAATCTTTTCACCTAAATAATAATTCAGATGTCATACTCAAAAGGCAGATAGTATTATTTTTAAAGTTCCAAGCCTCATAGAAAGAGAGGAAACTTCCTAATGTATCCTGCTTCCAACTCCCTTTTTCAACTTTCCCCAGTACTCACAAAGGACTGAATATGTAATATTTTTATCAGTTTCCACCTATTGGGAGCTGACTATGCCTAATATTGAGAAATACCTTTACGTCGTATAACACATTTATTCCCCACACATTATCTAATAGGTAATGTTTATTATCCATTCCATCCCCATATTATGGATAAGAAAACTAAAACTTGATGAAATGTAGAGACAATTACAAAATGTAACTGATAGGAACAGGGTTAAAACCCAGTTCTTTCTGCCTGACTCTAGAAAACTAAAAATAAAATTTTTAAAGAAACAAACAAAAAAAACCAGTAGAAATTATTGAAGTTTTTCTTTGGGTTTTCTTATCTCTCTTTCTAAACATTCCTTCAGTGAATTTCCTCCACTACAATGATTCACCCAGTGTCTAAAACTTAGCCTTCCTCTCCTCCCAAATAAGTTTACTTGACATGTTTTTCTGTCAGATCCTCACTAGCTACCTAAATCCAGTCTGTTAACATCTAGAAAGGTACCATCTTAGAATCCCTCCTTCACTCCTGGATTCCAGCTGATCACTAATTTCTATCAATTATTTCCTTCTAATACGCTTTCTATTTCTGCCATTACTGCTTTTAGTCCGTGCTCTACAACAACAGGTTCCCCTCACTCTCACCTTTCTCTGCCGGGTCAGTAATTGCCACTGAATCAATAATCCCCTAAACGCTGGTCTCATGGTACAGTTTTCTGACTCGAAATCTTCTGCGGATCCTCATTTCCTATCATAGCAACTCTAAAACTTTATAGCCTCCTTTTAGTGCATCTCATTATTTCCTCACATTATTAACATGATTTCTACTTCCTATTCAATTTAAGCTCAGCTTTATTGAGATCTCATAAATTGTAATTGGATCTATTAATTAGTCATTATTAAATCTGATTAACTAAATATTAATTTTTAAATCTAATAATTAACTGGTTGCTAATTTTAGATCTCACACTTAAGTAATTGTGGCTGGCACATGGGATTGTCCAGTGAATTATCATAGGGGATTTTCTCTGAATTGCCTGGCAATGAGCTAGAAGGGACCAATAGCTCTTACTAACAGCAGAAAAGTCTTCTCATGATTTCTATTTCCCCCAGAGTTTTCAGGTGCTGGGCAGTAGGCATTCTCAGGCTCTCTTAAATAAATCTTGCTTAAGCTTAGATGGCTTGGCACCCAAACTCAGAATGTTCCCCTTACAAGCTACTCCCACAATTGTCCTACAAAAAGAGAGCAGCATAAGGTGGGGGTCACTCCCCTAAAGAGCAGTCTCACTGCATGCAGCTGTCCCTATCTAAACATTGCACTGAGCAGGGCACTAGGAGAATGAACAGTGCTGGCATCAGTAGAATTTTTAATGGAGAGAGGGACATGGTCTCTTTCAACAATTCAAAACATCAGATGGTTAATATTAGGTTGGTACAAAAGTAATTGCGGTTTTTGCCATTGAAAGTAATGGCAAAGCTTAAATGTGAGATCGAAAACTGCAATTGCTTTTGTGCCAGCATAATAGTTGAAGATCTCAGAGATTGTGTATGGTCCAAGGACTAACTAAAATAAATTTAAATTAGAACAACAGGAAAGTGAACACTATTGATTTATAAGTTGTGTAGTCTCTACAGTTATTGCCAGTACTTCACACAGGTGGCAGCTTCTGAATTACAGCAGATTTACTTTCCATTAAGTTCAAGTACACGGTCTCCAATTCAGGAAGTCAAAAATAAAGGCAATGAGTAGCCCACAAGGAGAAAGGCAAAGCAATAAGGAAATGGAGTTCAAGGTTACCTTAAACCTAAAACTCACAGGAACTACAAAAGCTGAAGTAACGAGAAAGCCAGAGAGAGAAAAAGAGAAGATTCATTTCAGATCATATTGAAGTGAATGAGGCAGAAAAGTTGATAATGAGCTGTAAAATGGTCTATATACTGATGGCATAGAGTCATACAATGGATTATAATTCGAAAGTCATACAGAAAGAATGGAACAACAGCAAGAATAGCAAACACATTTTTATTGAGGGCAAACTACACTAGACAGAGTGTAAATACTTTATATGGATTATTTTATTTAATCCTGAAAACAAATCTGTATGGTAGATGCTGCTGTTTTTCCTTTTTTGCTAGTAACAAAATTGAGTTCCAAAGAGCTTAAGTCTCCTGTGTGTTTTTTAATCAAGAAAAAGGACTAAAGGGGAGTGGAGCAGATAAGTAATTCCCCTGCAGTTACACAACCAGCAAAGAGCAGAGGCAGAATTCGAACCCGGCTCTGCTCCATTCCAGGTCTCAAGCTCCTAACATACAAACACGTGTTAATGGATGGGACCACAATGCAACAACTACCCCAGAGATGGTATTTTCACCCTTTACTGTACACACCCACATAGAGGTGTCTCTGATCCTCTAATTGACAAGACGTGTCAGGAAAATAGATAAATGGATTTGACACAAGAGGCAGCACTGCCACAGTCCTTCACCTTTGGTTAATTAGAAGCAAGCGTGCGGGACAAAAAGAGTGTTGGAAAGAAATCAGGCTCCACTGCTGGGAGTTACAGAACCCCTGTCATGCAGATGGGCTGTGACACAGGCAGCGTGGAGAGGGCAGAGTGGCAATGCTCACGGGACATTTGCTGATCTAGTATCACAAGCAGCTTTGAAATCCAGATGCTTTTCTTCCTGACCCATGAATACAAGAAAGCTAAAAAAAAAAGCCAAAATGAAGACAGTAAGATGGATGAAAACTATGGTTTTATTTAATGTGTTCACTCCAATGGGCAGACTATTGGTTTACAAACAGGTATGTACAGCTTGCTATAGATGAGGATCATAAACATATAGAATATAAAAATATATAAAATACAGTCTGTCTTCAAGGAGCTTACAGGTAGGGAGACATTACATGGCACAATGTACCAAACCATGTGCAGTGCAAGGACCTCACCATCCAATGAGGTTCATGAATCTTTAATTCCCCAGCTCTTAATATCATACTTAGTGTGTATACACAACTGCCTAGCTTCATTTAGTCATGTTTGTTGAACACACCAAAAGCTGAGATACCTTTGTTTCAAAGGAAGAAATAACTGTAAAATCATACTAGGATATAATCTTTTTTTTTCATTGCCTTCTCTAACATGCCAGAGATGAAGGAAGGTCACTTTAAGTGAAACTTAAATCAATCTTGCAATTAGTTTAAAATTCTTCAAGCCACTGATGTACCATCTTGATGCGTCTTCATCAGCTATATCCCATACAGTTTTTACAATCAAATCACTTTTTCTACTCCTTAAATCATAAATGATTTATGAAAATTCCCGTGAGCATTGCCACTTTTTTATTTACAAGAAAAGGGATATTCATACACTGAAAATACTCTTACAGTTTCCCTTGTAAATAAAAAATATGAAATATCGAAATGTTTTAAATCTAGATGGGGAAGGGATGGTTTTCGACTGCTTGGCTTTTACTAGAGTCATAATGATTTATTTTAGATGGTGGGCATTTGAACGAGAGCAAAATTTCATGACTCTCACTAGAAGAGGGAAGATTTAGATGAGAATTCAAACTACCATACATTTGCACAAGCATATAGAATCAAAGCTCAAAAGAAACAAGGTTACCAGGTAAACTTCACTTTAAAGAACCGGCATGGCCAGGCACGGTGGCTCAGGCCTGTAATCCCAGCACTTTGGGAGGCCGAGGTGAGTGGATCACAAGGTCAGGAGATCAAGACCATCCTGGCTAATACGGCAAAACGCTGTCTCTACTAAAAATACAAAAAATTAGCCAGGCGCAGTGGAGGGTACCTGTAGTCCCAGCCACTCAGGAGGCAGAGGCAGGAGAATGGCATGAACCCGGGAGGCGGAGCTTGCAGTGAGCCGAGATCAGCCCACTGCACTCCAGCCTGGGCGACAGAGAGAGACTCCGTCTCAAAAAAAATAAATAAATAAATAAAAATAACCGGTATACTCCTGAAAACAGATAAACCAAAACCATAAGAAATTTAATTATGAGAAATATTTATTAAGCTATCAATAAAGATTCCAGGTTAATTATGCATCTACTCTATGTCAGAGACTGAGTTAATTACTTTGCACACTGTTGAGCACATTTCAGACTCTTTATAAGTATTGGTTGATTTAACACCTTATTTTCATTATTTCTTATTTTTATAGATTTACGGAGTAAAAGTGCATTTTTTTTTTTTTGAGACAGGGTCTCACTCTGTCACCCAGGCTGGAGTGTTGTGGCACAATCACTGCTTGCTGCAGCCTCGAAGGCCTCAAGCAATTCACAAGTGCATTTTTGTTACCTTGCATATTGCAAGGTATACTACATAGTATACTATGCAAGGTATATTGCATAGTAATGAAGTCTGGCTTTTAGTATAACCATCACTCAAATAATGTAAATTGTACCCAATTGGTAATTTTTTATCCCTCACCCACTTCTCACCCTCTCATCTTTTGGAGTCTTCAGTGTCTATTATTCCACCCTGTATGTCATGTGTACACATTGTTTTAGCTCCCACTCAGAAGTAAGAACATGTGGTATTTGACTTTCTGTTTCTGGGTTATTTCATGTAAGATAATGGCCTCCAGTTCCATCCATAGAGTCACAGAAGACATGACTTCATTTTTTTATGTTTGAATAGTATTCTGTGGTATATATACATACCACATTTTCTCTGTCCATTTTCTCTATCAACTGATAGACTCTTAGGTTGATTCCATGACTTTGCTGTTGTGAGTAATGCAGTAACAAACAAGTGCAGGTGTCATTTTATCTAAAGATTTATTTCTCTTTGGGTAAATACACAGTAGTGAGATTGCTGCATCAAATAATTGTTCTATTTTTAGTTCTTTGGGAAATCTCCATACCATTTTCCATAGAAGTTGTGCTTATTTACATTCCAACAAACAGTGTTTAAGCAGCTATTTATTTTTTGAATTTTTAATAATAGCCTTTCTGACTGGTGTAAGATGGTACCTCATTGTGGTTTTCATTTGCATTTCTCTGATTATTAGTGATATAGTTTGGCTGTGTCCCCACCCAAATCTCATTTTGAACTCCCATGTGTTGTGGGAGGGACCTGGTGGAAGGTAATTGAATCATTGGGGCAGGTCTTTCCCATGCTGCTCTCGTGATAGTGAATAAGTCTCACGAGATCTGATGGTTTTAAAAAAGGGAGTTTCCCAGCACAAGCTCTCTTTTTGTCTGCTGCCATCCATGTAAGACGTGACTTGCTCTTCCTTGCCTTCTGCCACGTTTGTGGGGCCACTTGGAACTGTGAGTTCCAGTTCCAGTCACTTGGAACTGTGAGTCCTTTAAACTTTTCTTTTCTAAATTGCCCAGTCTCAGGTATGTCTTTATCAGCAGCATGAAAAAGGACTAATACAGTAAATTGGTATCAGAGTGGGGTGCTGCTGTAGATACCCGAAAATGTGGAAGCAACTTTGGAACTGGGTAACAGGCAGGGGTTGGAACAGTTTGGAGGGCTCAGAAGAAGACAGGAAAATGTGGGAAAGTTTGGAGCTCCCTAGAGACTTGTTGAATGGCTTTGACCAAAATGCTGATGATGATATGGACAATGAAATCCAGGCTGAGGTGGTATCAGATGGAAATGAAGAACTTGTTGGGAACTGAAGTGCAGGTGACTCTTGTTATGTTTTAGCAAAGAGACTGGCAGCATTTTGCCCCTGCCCTAGAGATTTCTGGAACTTTGAACTTGAGAGGGATGATTTAGGGTATCTGGCAGAAAAAATTTCTAAGCAGCAAAGCATTCAAGAGGTGATTTCAGTGCTGTTAAAGGCATTTAGTTTTATAAGACAAGGAGGGCATAAAGTTTGGAAAATTTGCAGCCTGACAATGCGATAGAAAAGAAAATCCCTTTTTCTGAAGAGAAATCCAAGCTGGCTGCAGAAATTTGCATATTTAACAGGAGTCAAATGTTAATCACCAAGACAATGGGGAAAATATCTCCAGGGCATGTCAGAGGTCTTCACGTCAGCCCCTCCTATCACAGATCCTAAGGCCTAACAGGAAAAAATGTTTTCATGGGCTAGGCTCAGGGTATCCATGCTGTGTGCAGCCTAGGGACTTGGGGCCCTGCATTCCAGCCACTCCAGCTGTGGCTGAAAGGGGCCAACATAGAGCTCAGGCTATGGCTTCAGAGGGTGCAAGCTCCAAGCCTTGGTGGCTTCCATGTGGTGTTGAGCCCGTGGGTACACAGAAGTCAATAATTGGGGTTTAGGAACCTCTACTTAGATTTCAGATGATGTATGGAAATGCCTGGAGGGCCCAGGCAGAAGTTTGCTATAGGGCCAGGGCAGTCATGGAGAACCTCTGCTAGGGCAATGCAGAAGGGAAATGTGGGGTCAGAGCCCACACACAGGGTTCCTACTGGGGCACTGCCTACTGGAGCTGTGAGAAGAAGGCCCCTGTCCTCCAGACACTAGGATGGTAGATCCATCAACAGCTTGCACCGTTCACCTGGAAAAGCCATAGACACTCAACACCAGCCCATTAAAGCAGCCAGGAGGGAGGCTGTACCCTGCAGAGCCACAGGGGCAGAACTGCCCAAGACCAAGGTAGCCCACCTCTTGCATCAGCATGACCTGGATATGAAACATGGAGTCAAAGGAGATCATTTTAGAGCTTTAAGATTTGACTGCCCTGCTGGATTTCAGACTTGCATGGGGCCTGTGGCCCCTTTGTTTTGGCCAATTTCTCCCACTTGGAATGCCTGTATTTACCCAATGCCTGTACCCCCATTTTATCTGGGAAGTAACTAACTTGCTTTTGATTTTACAGGCTCATAAGTGGAAGGGACTTGACTTGTTTCAGATGAGACTTTGGACTGTGGACTTTTGAACTAATCCTGAAGTGCGTTAAGACTTTGGGGGACTGTCAGGAAGGCATGATTGGTTTTGAAATGTGAGGACACGAGATTTGGGAGGGGCCAGGGATAGAATGATATGGTTTGGCTGTGTCCCCACCCAAATCCATCTTGAACTCCCACATGTTGTGGGAGGGACCCGATGGGATGTAAATGAATCACTGGGGCAGGTCTTTCCCACGCTGTTCTCATGATAGTGAATAAGTCTCACAAGATCTGATGGTTTTAAAAGGGGGGTTCCCCTGCACAAGCACTTTTTGCCTGCTGCCATCCATGTAAGACGTGACTTGCACCTTTGCCTTCTGCCTTGATTTTGAGGCCTCCCCAGCCACTTGGAACTGTAAGTCCACTAAACCTCTTTATTTTGTAAATTGCCCAGTCTCAGGTATGTCTTTATCAGCAGCATGAACACAAACTAATACAATTAGTGATGTTGAGCATTTTTTCATATGTTTGTTGGCCACTTGTATGTCTTCTTTTGAGAAATGTCTGTTCATGCCCTTTGTCCACTTTTAAATGGGGTTGCTTTTCTTTTTTGTTGAGTTGAGTTTCTCGTAGATTCTGGATATTAGTCCTTTGTCACATGCATAGTTTGCAAATACTTTCTCCCATTTTGTAGGCTTCTATTTACTCTGTTGATTATTTCTTTTGCTGTGCAGAAGCTTTTAGTTGAATTAAGTTCCATTTATATTTTTCTTGTACTTGGTGCATTTATTTTTGAGGACTTTGTCATAAATTCTTCACATAGGCCAATGTCCAGAAGAGTTATTCCTAGGTTTTCTTCTAGGATTTTTACAGTTTCAGGTCTTACAGTTAAGTCTTTAATCCATCTTGTGTAATTTTTGTATATGGTGAGAGATATGGGTCCAGTTTCATTATTTTGCATATGGCTATCCAATTTTCCCAGCACCATTTCCTGAATAGAGTGTCCTTTCCCTATTGTTTATTTCTGTTAACTTTGTCAGAGATCATTTGGTTGTAATTATGTAATGCCTTATTTTCAATAGTCACAAAATAAAAAGGCATGTAGATTTTGTTAATTCCAGGTGATAAAATTTGGTTAAATAGCTAATAAATGGGGGAGCCTAAGCACCTTTTTCTATACTGAGATGCCCCTTACCTAGTAAAAGAAATATAATGATTCTTCATTGATTATAATTTACAAAAAATTGACTTTGTTTTCTATAATTTGCATGTACTTATACTAGGCATTTGAAAGGACTCTTCAGAATAGCAGGCATATGGTAAATACAGATACATCATTCTATATGCATAACTGAGTGATTAAAAATGCCATTAATTAACCTTTCATTACTATGAACTTGCTTATACCCGATATTGAGGTTTTGAATGGGACAGAGTAGGATATTGAAAATATTACTTAACATGATGATAATTATGAAAGCAAACATAATAGTATATAACGTATAATTGTTTCTATGTGAATTAATTTTCTCCAATTATTAATAAAATTTTCATTTTCTCTGACCCTTTCAGTTTATTATTAATATTAAGTTTTATTTCTTTGTTTTTATCAGTTATCCAACATACACATGTATATATACACAGAGAGACAGAGAAAGAGACAGAAGAAACACTTGATAAAGGGATATTCTATACTACAGAAACAGAACAAGTGGATTTGAACACAACTAATATTTAGTGTCTTTAGTGTTTTCTACCTCTAACTTTTAAATATAAATTACCAGTAATGAACAATTATACAGACTTTTCCTTTTTTTCTTTTATTGGAAACAAACTTAATATTCTTTTTATTTTTATTGCTATTGTTATATATCTAGCACTCTGTATTTCCCCAAATCATATCATCATCAATCTAAAAATCAGCTTAATTGAGGGCAAGTCATTTTATTGGTATTTTCAAATTGGAAATGGAGAAATTACAACAGAGAAAATTTGAGATTGATGAAGATCCTGAATCAAATGAGGAAAACAGAAACAAAAATACTTGCTTCAACTCTAGGATATGTATCCTAAAGGCTGAAATAAGAAATGTTATTGATTATTCTTATTTTAATGCACTGCCATACCTGTGAACTGCCAATTGCAAGTAATAATATTTAAGAGTAGATGTTTCAGATATAAAGCAATTATATGTATATCTTATTTCTACAAAAGTTTAATTTTAAAATATTTCTATTAAATTTAAACAAAGGCAAGTCAGATATTAAGCATGATATAATATTAGATTATCTGTATTTGGATTTTATTTACCAGTAATTGAACTAGAAAGAACACACATCAATAAAATCTGTTTATATTCTCTCTACATTATTTGTGGGATTTGGACAGACCTTAATAAATTAAATACTATGAATACATTGGCCCTTGGAATCAAGAATGAAGAAGATGTAAGCATTCTCTTGCAAATCTATGACCTTGCTTGCTTGAGAGATTCAGTAACTGCCATGGCCATGCCAATCTGAATGATGGATATTTTTTAATGTGCCAGGGAACACACAACAGAGTCCTCTACTGAAAGCAACAATGGCTTTACACAAAATCTGCCCCATGCAGAGTTCTTGAAACTTAGCAGACAGGAAGAAAGATAAAGAATTCAGGAAAGTTGGTCATGGGTTTAAAGTTATTTCTATACCTTAGTGAACATCAGATCTTAAGCAAGTTATTTCATTGCTTTAAGCCACAACTCCCTCTTCAGAAAAATGAAACTAATAATGCTAGACTTAAAGAGTTATGATAAGAAAGAGAGTCAATTGGCATAGATGGACTTGCTGATTTCATTCATTGTACAACTGAGCCTTCAGGATGGGAATCTGTAAACTGCAGCTTAATTGTTTATATGACACAAGCTTAACATGTGTCCTCGGTCAAGTCATTGCTGAGTTTCTCCATCTAATATGTCACCTCCCTCATATGTATAAGGCAAGAATTTCTTGGGGTAATAATCTTTAGAAGAAGATTTCTATTGCATCTGACAATAGTTGCTTTTATTATTATTTACATTTTAACATGGATTATAGTTTTTTCTTCAGGAGTTTGGTTAGGCTAGAAGGAAGTCTATGAGATTTGCCAATTGAATTTTTGTAATTTTAAATTTTATATGATTTATCCAAATCATACCTAATCACTTTCAGCAAATATCCAGGGCTATATAACTATCAGCTATCAGTAGGATGTGGCAGCCCTTTTCTAATATATCCAGCACTTTTAGACAGTCTCTTTTGAGAGGCTTAATTCCCTGTGATAAATAAAATTATTTTCATCTCAAAATCTGAGAAACATCTGATGTGTATCTAATTTTGGTTCACAAACACAGTGATCAACTAACATCTCTAATCTAAATGCTGAGCATTTTACTTTTTCCTGTGTGTTTACTTGTTTGCCTGTTTGTTTACATATTTCTTTCATTCTTTTCTTCCTCCCTAGGAGTGAAAATTGGCAGCTCACTAAAACTGAGAAGTCAAAGCCATTAAATGCAACAACAACAACAAAAAGGAACAATTATTCACACTAAACAAAAAGAGTTTTCTCTGAGAGCTACATTGAACAGTGTATAATGTTAACTTTTGATTGTTTTCTTTTCTTTTCCTTTTTCTTTTTTTTTCTTTTACTGTCAACTTCCAGGCAAGCCATTAGAGGAAGAAGGAGGGGAATGAAGGCAAAAGAGCCTGAAAGCACTTGACTGGTTTTCCATATTGAGCTCTGCTCCCTTCCTGTCTGACTCTCTAATAAAGACTAGTTCCAGTAATGGGCCCCGAAAAATATGAGATTCCTCAGTCACAAGTGTTGCTCCACACAGCTGCATGAAGAAGAAAGGAACCAAAAGGCACCCTGGCCTTTTATACAGTTCCTTAAAGACAAAAGTCCAAGACTTACCATTCATCACTGTACTCCCAGCTCCCAGTCAGGATTCGCTGTTTGCAGAATCAATTTGAATATAATTATATATTTTTTCAGGTGTTTGGCAACAAGATCCTTTAAATGCCTTATTTATAAAGCATATTTTTTCCCTAACCAAACTATATCAAATCCACTGACTGTGTTAATTGATCCATGAACCTCCTGCACCAGATACTATGCATTTGCTGTAATCAATTCTTGTTTCTCACAGCTTCTCCCCATCTTCAGCTCATTAATCATCTACTGTCAGATGTCCTTGCCTGTCCAGATGCTTTGACTGGTTTCAGTCTTACCTGGGATATTACAGTGCCCAGCCTCTAAGATTATCTTTGATCCCCTCTTCCTAAATGTTATAGGAAAGTGAACCTAAGAACATTCTTCCAATAAACTGGCAGCTGGGTTTGCTCTCTCTAGCCAACCCCTGCTACCTCCAGCTGGCTGTTTAATGACAGCACCATCAGTAGTAACTCAACCTTCTCCACAACACCCTTCTCCAGAGACTCACCTGCCCCACTTCCACCAATTCACTACCAAAGCTCTGAGAGAACTTCATGTCCTTCAAACTCTGTCTGGGTATTGACTTAGGGTTGAGTTTGGGGTTTGTTTCTTCAATTTGCAGCAATGTGGCTTTTGAGAAGTGGTAGTAGTAATGGAGCCAATAATGTCCCAACAAGGCAAGTTCTGAGCAGCATCACTGCAACTCAGGTATTGAGGATTTAGTGGCATCTTCTTGTTAAAGGTGCTAAAGACTACAGCACACAGTATCTGTGAGCTTCCCATCAACCTGCCATGAGACAGAAAGTGTTTCAGAAAATTGAAGTTCAGACCTTATGCTAAGCGATTTGAGTCACTGACTACCAACTACATTGTTTGTATCAACAAATTCTCTCAACAGGCTGGTGGCCAGGGAAGCACCTGCTACCACCACAGATGTCACTGCAATGAAGCATTCTGCTCAACAATTACATATCCAAGACCCAGAATGAAGCTCTCCTGCAAAAGTGACATTTTAATTAGACTTGATTCTCTTTGAGAAATAATGCAGTAAGCTAAATTCTCCCTTTGCCACCTACCCTTAAAGTCATCATTCTAAGCCAAAACAACTTTTAAAAAAGAAAACAAAATTAGAGGGCTAACATTCTGATTTCAAGATTTATTATAAAGATACATGGATCCAGACAATATGGTATTGGCATAAAGATAGGCATGGGGCAAAGACAACTTAGTAGAACAAAAGAGTGTGTTCAACAAATGGTGGTAGAAGAAAGAATTGGATATCCATAAGCAAAAAAATAAACTTTGGCCTATACATTATACCACGTACAAAAATTAACCAAAAATGGTGCACAGGTGTAAATACTAAACTTAAAATTGTAACAAAACTTAGCTAAGAAAACATAAGAGAAAGTCCTTGTAACCTTTAGATAGCCCAAGAGTTTTTAGATATAAAACAAAAGCTTATATTTTATGTATAATAATTCATTTATTCTTGCTAATATTTATATAAGGTGGCATCATTACTTTCCCCATGTCTTCACATGGCTTCATAAGAAGAGGAAGAGAAGAGAGATCTCTACCCCTTCCATGTGCACATGCCAAAGAAAGGCCATATAAAGACATAGTGAGAAGGTAGCTGTCTGAAGGCCAAGAAGAGAGCCCTCATCAGAAACCAAATTTGCCAGTACCTTGGTCTTGGACTATCAGGGGAACCAGCCCCCAATATTTCAACATAGGTTCTTTCTATTTTCCCTAAGTGTCAGCTGGTCTGAGAAATAAAGAGAAAGAGTACAAAGAGAGAAATTTTACAGCTGGGCCTCTGGGGGTGTCATCACATATTGGTAGGACCATGATGGCGACCCCGAGCTGTAAAATCAGCAAGTTTTTATTAGGGATTTTAAAAGGGGAAAGGGTACACAAACAGGGAGTAGGTCACAAGGATCACATGCTTCAAAGGGCAATAAAGATCACAAGGCAAGGCAACATTAGAATTACTGATGAGGGTCTATGTCCTGCTGTGCATGCATTGTCTTGATAAACATCTTAACAGGATCCAGGGTTCGAGAGCAGAGAACCTGTCTGACTAGAATTTACCAGGCTGGAATTTCCCAATCCTAGTAAGCCTGAGGGTACTGCAGGAGACCAGGGCATATTTCAGTCCTTAACCACATAAAACAGACACTCCCAGAGCGGCCGTCTATAGACCTACCCCCAGGAATGCATTCCTTCCCCAGGGTTACTCCTTGCTGGGAAAAGAATTCAGCGATATTTCTCCTACTCGCACATCCATCTATAGGCTTCCTGCGAGAAGAAAAATATGGTTCTATTCTGCCCGACCCCGCAGGCAGTCAGACCTTATGGTTATCTTCCCTTGTTCCCTGAAAATCGCTGTTATTCTGTTCTTTTTCAGGGTGCACTGATTTCACCCAAATTTCAAAATATTGTTCAAACACACATATTTTACCATCAGATTTCATATTGTTCAAACACACATGTTCTACAATCAATTTGTACAATAGTGGTCCTGAGGTGACACACATTCTCAGCATGAAGATAATAGGATTAAGAGATTAAAGTAAAGACAGGCACAAGAAATTATAAGAGTATTATTAGAGAAGTGATAAATGCACATGAAATCTTCACAATTTATGTTCAGAGATTGCAGTAAAGACAGGCATAAGAAATTATAAAAGTATTAATTTTGGGAACTGATAAATTTCCATGAAGTCTTCACAATTTATGTTCTTCTGCCGTGGCTCCAGCCAGTCCCTCCACTCAAGGTCCCTGACTTCCTGCAACATTGGACTTATCAGGTTCCAAAATTGTGACAAAATAACTTTCTGTCCTTTAAGCTGCCTAGTCAATGATATTTTGTTATGACAGCCCAAACAGACTAATACACAACCCAAACGTCCATCAACAGGTGAATGGATAATCATTGTATGTCTACACAATGGAGTACTAGTCACAAATAGAAAAAAATGAACTATTGATACATGCAAAATTATGAATGAATATATAATTAGGTTGAGCAACAGAATCTGTCAAAACAGAGCACATGCTATATAATTCTATTTATATAAAATCTAGGAAGTCCAAACTAAACTATGATGACCAAAGCAGATCAGTTATTGCCTGGGAGAGAGGAGTGGGGAAGAGTAGAAGTAAAGGATTACAAAGGGACATGAGAAAACCTCAGGAGTGAAGAATATGTTCACTGTCTTGATTGTGGTGATGTTTTCACAAGTGTATACTTATATCAAAACTCACCAAATTTCAGCCAGGTATGGTAGCTGACACCTATAATCTCAGCAATTTTGAAGGCTGAGGCAGGAGGATTACTTGAGCCCAGGAGTTTGAGACCAGTCCTACCAACATGGCGAGAGACTACCCTCCCACTCCCCATCTCTTTAAAAAAAAAAAAATCAAATTTTATACTTTTTTGAGTTTTTCTTTTTTTTTTTTTTTTTTTTAGATGGAGTCTCTCTCTGTCTCCCAGGCTGGAGTGCAGTGGCATGATTTTGGCTCACTGCAACCTCTGCCTCCTGGGTTCAAGCAATTCCCTTGCCTCAGCCTCCTACATAGCTGAGATCACAGGCATATGTCCCCATGCCCGGCTAATTTTTGTATTTTTAGTATGGACAGGGTTATGCCATGTTGGCCAGGCTGGTCTCGAACTCCTGGCCTCATGTGATCTACCTGTGTTGGCTTCCTGAAGTGCTGAGATTACAGGCATGTGCCGTGGAGCCCAACCTAAATTTTATATTTTAAATAACTGCAGTTTCCTCACAAAAGAAAGTAGATGAGAAGGGCAGAAAGACTCCCACTATATATTGCTAAGTGTAAAAACCAAAGTCCAAGGTCATACTACTATTACTAATAGCAACTCACTTAGCACTTACTTGTGGCAGATATTCTTCTAAATGCTTTGTGTATAATAATTCATTTATTCTTGCTAATATTCACATTCACATAAAGTGGCATCATTACTTTCCTTTTGGCAAATGAGGGAACTGAGGCTTATTGCAATCACACGGCTAATAACTTGTGAATCAGGGCTGCTATCCCTACAGTTGGATTCTAATCTGTTTTTTTTTTTTGTTTGTTTGTTTGTTTGTTTGAGACGGACTCTCGCCCTGTCTCCCAGGCTGGAGTGCAGTGGCGCGATCTCAGCTCACTGCCAGCTCTGCCTCCCAGGTTCACACCATTCTCCTGCCTTGGCCTCCCGAGTAGCTGGGACTACTGGTGCCCGCCACCATGCCCAGCTAATTTTTTGTATTTTTAGTAGAGACAGGGTTTCACTGTGTTAGCCAAGATGGTCTAGATCTCCTGACCTTATGATCTGCCCGCCTCGGCCTCTCAAAGTGTTGTGATTACAGGCGTGAGCCATCACACCCAGCCATTTAATCTGCTCTTAATCACCACACTTGACTGCAAGATCTTACTATGTAAAATAACTGTGCATGCAAAGGCAGATGTATTTGGATTGGGGAAGGAGATGGAACTATAGAAAGGGTTCTGGTGAAAGGGAAATTTATTCTTTAAGGTAAATACTATTTTCTTGTTTAATTTTATAGCAATCAGCCCTGTGTCAATTGTTTTCTTCTGGAAGCATATGCCAAGATGACAAGTGAGAAGTGCAAGTGTTTTATTGGGAAGTAATGTCTGTGAAAGGTAAAACAAAAAGCAAGATTTGTCAGGGAGAGCTTCAGATAATCAAACAGATCAGCCTAAATCTCAGTCAACCCAGTGGGGAACTCTGAAGCAAAGATCACCCTTTAGAGGTGTCTCATCTCATGTTGAATACAAATGACCAGACCCTAGTAACCCTGTGATGCTGTCACTGCTGTGGACTACTTACAAAGTGTGTCCTCAGCCTGAACAAAAGCTGAGGAGAATCCAGAAAATACTGTAGAGGAAGGGTGTCAATTTCCCACACTCTGTAGCAGAATAGCAAGTTCTCTCTTAAAGGGAGATATGAACAGCTCTCCTTGGCAACCACACTATCAAACGGGAAGAATATATTTTCTTACAGAGCTCTTAACATGCAGTAAGTTACCCAATTATTGATCAAAATGGTTGAGAAAATATCCATTTCTTTAGGATGTTTTTTCCCTTTGGGAGAAGGAAAAACAAATGATATGCTCAAGTGATATGCTGACTCTTCTGCAAAAGACACTGCTTCTTTAACTCAGGAATGGAAAACCAAACATTGTATGTTCTCACTGATATGTGGGAGCTAAGCTATGAGGACACAAAGGCATAAGAATGATAGAATGGACTTTGAGGACTTGAGAGGAAGAGTGGGAGGGGGTCGAGGGATAAAAGACAACATATATGGTGCAGTGTATACTGCTCAGGTGATGGGTACACCAGGATCTTACAAATCACCATTAAAGAACTTAGTCATGTAACCAAATACCACCTGTACCCCAATAACTTATGGAAAAATAAAATAAAGTAATAATAATTTTTAAAGACTGTTTCTTTATATCTTATCAAGTGTGGAAAATGACTCAACTGCCCTCTCAAATTCTACTCAAATAGGCTTTATATGTTGCTGATTATACTATCTCAAGTAGGAACCATATACTGGTATTTATTTACTATTAGTATTATCACAGCACAATAACAGTTTCCATGCAAAGGGGAACAAGTCAAGGTGGAATCAAAAGTCATCAATGCAAAAGATTCCACTTTTACTTTCAAATTTGATTGAAGTAGATATACAAGTCAACATTCTCAAAAAGGAAATAAATTTGCTATTTTGCTACTTTCCCAATCAAGAGAAGGAGGTAAGTCCCCAGCATATTGAGTGAAAACGATCTAGTGAAATATCCTGGCAGGTCAGTCCTATTTGTGAAATGGTTACATTACTAAGTCATATGAATAATTAAACAACTCTTGCCACCTGCAGGAAACAGAAGATGAAGGATAATATCAAGTACCTCTCAACTCTAGCTGCAAAAAAAAAAAAGACATTTTCCCTGAAAATCAGTAATTCCCACTTGATAAACTGGTACAAAATTATTAATTCCCTATATTTGAGAAATTAAGAGATAGCACTTTTTAAATTTTACCTGCTTGTCTTTGATAGTTATATATTCTTTTCCCTGTGGTTCTCTCTTTCCTTTTCCAATAAATTCTTCTCTCAGCGCGCGCGCGCGCACACACACACACACACACACTCACCTATAACACTACATTTTAAACTTGTAATGTGATTATGGAAGTAGACTGTGAATCAGGAGAACAAGGTTTCATATTCATATCTGCTAGCGAATATTCTGCCCTAGGTTAGTCAGCTAATTTTTCATTTAAATTGATTTTTAATTCAACCTTTGCAAATGCCCAAGTAATGATTAACTAAAATATAAATAAGCAAACAAAGATAATTGTTCTGTGAAATGGAAATATATTCAGCCTCCAAAACACCACAGTCTCTCTCCTCAAGTAACATTTTGTCTTAGTCTAAGAAAAAGCAAGAACAAACAGAAAGTCTGTGGGAAAACACTAGGGAAAAGGCAAACATCTAATGAAGAATTTTGAGCTTCTTGCCCATATAACTGCAATGGCAATAGCCAGGTCGCAGTTTGAAATGCCTGCTGAAGATGAATTTGATTGTGCATACATCAAAAAACAAACAAGAAGTTCAAGAATGTGAATCAGATCACACTGAGCTTTTGCTGTGTTTCAGACTGTGCTAAGCACTTTACTGGCATTATTCTATTGATGCCCTAACAACAATCTTAGAAAGTAGGTATTAAAATCCTCATTTTAGAGATGAGAAAAATCAAACCTAAGGATTAAATACTTGACACAATGAAAAAACCCAGAATTCAAAAGTAGGTGTTTTTAGTTTTTTTTTAAATTCCTCAGCCTGTACTATACTAAGCCACACGAAGCAGAGGAACCATCATGTTGACTCTCAAACCTTAGTGTGCCTCAGAACCACCTGGCAGACTTCTTAAAACAGACAACTGGACCCCAACCCCAAAGTTTCTGATTTGGTGGGTGGGGCCAGAGGATTTACATTTCTATCTAGCTCCCAGGTAATGTTGATTCTGCTAGTCTAGACATCACATTTTGAGAAGCAGTGTTCTAAACCAATGGCTCCCAGACCTTTGCATTTCAGGCAGCAATTTTTTTAAATGAAGTTTGAGTGGACAAAGAACATGAATTGACTTTCTTTTAACAAAAGACATACAAATGGCAATAGTATATTAAAAAATGCTCAACATCACTAATCATCAGAGAAATGCAAATTAAAACCACAATGAAATATCATCTTACCCCAGTCAGAGTGGCTATTAATAAAAAGACAGAAAATAACAGATGTTGACAAAGATGCAGAGAAAAGGGACATTTTATACACTGTTGGTGGAAATGTACGCTATTTGTGGTAGTACAACCTCTATGAAAAACTGTATGGAGATTTCTCAGAGAGTTAAAAATAGAACTATCATTCAATCCAGCACTCCCACTACTGGACATATACCGAAAGGAAAAGAAAGAAATTTATCAAAAAGATACCTGCACTCATTTGTTTATCACAGCACTATTCGCAACAGCAAATATATGGAATCAACCTAAGTGTCCATCAGTGGAGGATTAAATAAAGAAAATGTGATAAACATACACAATAGAATATTATTCATCCATTAAAAAGAATGCAATCAACAATATGGATAGAACTAGAGGTCATTATCATAAGTAAAACAAGCCAGACACAGAAAGTCAAATATTGCATTTTTCTCATCATAAGTGGGTACTAAACAATGTGTATACACAGACGTACAGAGTGGAATGATAGACAATGGAGATTCAGAAGGGTGAGAGCATGGGAGGGGTGGAGGATGAAAAATTACTTTATGGATATAATGTACATTATTTGGGTGATGGACACTCCCTAAAGTCCTAACTTAACCCCCATGTAACCTATGAATGTAACAAACTTGTAGTTGTACCACATAAATTTATACAAATTAAAAAATAAAAATAAAGTTTAACAGACCACCAAATTTTATTGTAGTTGGTTGTTGCATAAACACCACAAAAAAAAGACAAGAAAACTGTATTCTAATACCTCTATAATTTATTTTTGTTTTTTGAAAATTAAGGCATAACTTACATACAGTAAAACTGACCCTGAAAGTTTTGACAAACATATATAGTCATGTAACCAACACTACAATCAAGACATAGGAGGCAGGAGCAGGGGCTCACACCTCTAATCCCAGCACTTTGGGAGGCCAAGGCAGGTGGATCACCTGAGGTCAGAAGTTCAAGACCAGCCTGGCCAACATGGTGAAACCCCATCTCTACCAAAAATAAAAAATGATGGTGCACATCTGTGATCCCAGCTACTCAGGGGGCTGAAGCCAACCCGAGAGGCAGAGGTTGCAGTGAGCTGAGATCACGCTGCTACACTCCAGACTGGGCGACACAAAGAGACCCCATCTCAAAAAAAAAAAAAAAAAAAAAAGATATAGGACAGCTACATCATTCAAAAAAATGCCCCCATGACTTACTGTAAAGAAAAGAAGAAGAAAAAAAGAAACCCTCCTCCACCCCTAGACTATAACAACCACCAATGTTTTCTGTTTCTATAGTTTTACTTTTTCCAGAACATCATATAAATGAAGTCAGCCAGTATGTAACCATTTGAGTCTGGCTTTTTTCTCTTAGCATAATGTATTTGAAACTCATCTATTTTGTTTTGTGTAGTTTGTTTCTTTTTATTGCTAAAGAATACTCCATTGTATGATTACATCACCATTTGCTTAACTAGTCCCAAGTTGAGGAGGATTTGAGTTGTTTCCGCTTTTGGGCAATTACCAAAAAAACCTGTTATAAACATTCATAACATTCATATACAGGTTTTTGTGTATGTAGCTAAGAGTAGGACTGCTGAATGATATAGTAAGTTTATGTCGAACTATATAAGAAACTTCCAAACTATTTTCCAAAATGGTGTCACTATTTTACATCCTCACAAGCAATGTATAAGAGTTATTCCACATCCTCACCAAGACTTAATAATGTCAGTTTTTTTATTTGTTTGTCTTTAATCCTAGCCATTCTAATATACAAATAGAAAAATCTCATTGTAGTTATCATTTGTATTTCCCTAATGACTAATGATTTCAGCATCTTTTCATGTCTTCCAACTTGGTTCTTTTTCAAAATTGTTTTGTCTACTATACCTCCTTTGTTTTTCCATATAAATTCCAGAATCAGCTCATTAGTTTCTATAAAAATATCCTATCATAATTTTGATTGTGATTTCATTGACTCTATAGATCAATTTGGGAAGAATTAAGATCTGAACAAAATTGGGTCTTCCAGTACATGAATATGGCTTATCTTTTATTTAGGTCTTTGATTTCATTCATCAGTATGTTATTGTTCTCAGCATGTAGATCCTGAATATATTTTGTAAGATTTATATGTATTTTATATTCTTGTAGTGGTACTTATTAAATTTCAATTTCTCATTTTTCATTGCTAGCCTATCAATAGTTTAATTTTCAAAGATGTTTTAGCACTAAAAGTGGGAATGGTGCACAGTAAACTGTTAATACATATTTTTGGTTTAGTGAATAATGAATAAGTAAAATGAGAGAAAGAATAAAAAAGCAGTGTCCAGTTCTAGAGAAGAAAGTAAACCTAAGGAAGTAAACAGTCAAGATGCCCAACTTGCATCTTGATATTACTCAAATATCCTGTGGAGTTTATCTCATGTTTCTTAGACCTTCAGATATGCACCTCCTTCTTGACATTCAGGTCTCAACTTATATGAAACCTACACAGACAACCCAATCTTTGCCACACCGTTAGTCATTTTCTGTCAGTTCACCTTGTTTTAACTTTTTCACAATGCTTTTTATTACTTGACCTTTTCTTTTTATTGACTTATTTGATTATTTTTGGTCTTCCCTCACTAGTTTTCTTTATTGCTATATCAAAGCACTTAGAACAATGTCTGATACACAGATGGCATCAATATTTCTTTATATAATGGAAGAAGAAGATGCATGGATACAGCGATGAGCTGCAAAAATAACCTTTTATAAAAAGAACAAAAAATAAAACCCACTTAAAAGAGCAAGAAATATCTATCATAAGGTACTTGAAATACATTTTTTAAGTATGCAAGACCTTCAAGGAAAAAAATATAAAACATTGCAGGATATAAAAGATGTAAGTAAATATAATATTCATAAATGAGAAACTTAAGCCACAAAAGATATTAATTTTTCCTTTAAAAAACTATAAATATATTGTACTTTTCAGAACCAGCCCTAGGATGAGGAGTGAGGTAAGTGAGTGCCGTGGCTAGGGTGCAAAATTTTAAAGTCCACCAAAAAATACAGACATCAAGATAAGTAATATTTTAATGCATTGTTTTCAAAAATCAAAATTAATGCAAAAAGTCAGTGATTAACAAAATATAAAAATTTTCAGGAAATAATAAAAGACATGGTCAGCCCTGATTTTCCATTTCACCTCTGCCTCCAATATGGTTTAGCACAATGCTATGACAGATCCTGTCTTTCTCAAAATTGTTGATATATTGTTACTTAAAGACTTTATGCATTAAATTTTATTTTTAAAATGCTGCATTAAATATTATTTATCGGCCGGGTGCAGTGGCTCACACCTGTAATACCAGCACTTTGGGAGGCTGAGGCGGGCAGATCACAAAGTCAGCAGATCGAGACCATCTGGCTACCATGGTGAAACCCCGTCTCTACTAAAAATACAAAAAAATTAGCCAGGTATGGTGGCAGGCACCTGTAGTCCCAGCTACTCTGGAGGCTGAGGCAGGAGAATGGTGTGAACCCAGGAGGCAGAGCTTGCAGTGAGCCGAGATCGCACCACTGCACTCCAGCCTGGGCGACAGAGTGAGACTCCGTCTCAAAAAAGAAAAGAAAAAAATATATATATATAATATATAAATTATATATATATGTTTAATATATATAATATATAAACTATATATATGTTTAATATATATAATAATATAATAAAATATATATTAAATATATATATATAATTTATCTTGATTACTGAATATTTCTGGCAACTCCTTGTATTTTGGACCCTAGGAAAATACCTCATTCACCTCAACTGACTCACCCTAGTTTGGGTTCAGATAATTTCTATGAAAATTACGTAGGATTGGTTGGGTGCAGTGGCTCACACCTGTAATCCCAGCACTTTGGGAGGCTGAGGCAGGTGGATCACGAGGTCAGGAGATTGAGACCATCCTGGCTAACATGGTGAAACCCCGTCTCTACTAAAAATACAAAAAAATTAGCCGGGCGTGGTGGCGGGCGCCTGTAGTCCCAGCTACTCGGGAGGCTGAGGCAGGAGAATCGCGTGAACCTGGGAGGCGGTGCTTGCAGTTAGCCGAGATCGCGCCACTGCACTCCAGCCTGGGCGACAGAGCGAGACTCCGCCTCAAAAAGAAAAAAAGAAAGAAAGAAAATTACGTAGGATTTTCTTTAACTTATTAAACTGATCCTAAAATCTATACATAAGAATACAGGTATTAAAACAGTCAAAAACGGCTGGGCATGGTAGCTCACACCCATAATCTCAGCACTTCGGGAGGCCAAGTCTGGAGTCAGGCCCAGGAGTTCAAGACCAGCCTGGGCAACATAGAGCAACCCCATTTCTACAAAAAATAACCAAATTACCCAGGTGTGGTCGTACTTGACTATGGTCCCAGCTACTTGGGAGGCTGGAGGACTACCTGGGCTCAGGAGGTTGAGGCCACGGTAAGCTGTGATCACGCTACTGCACTCCAGCATGGAAGACAGAGCAAGACCCTGTCTCATTAAAAAAAAAAGGTCAAAAGACATTAAAATCTAAGAGCTGGCAATCCTTAAAGAACCTAGTAATTTGTTATCATTATAGGTCAGAGTATATACCACTCCCTCTTCTCAGAAAGGACAGAGCTGGAGCATACGGCCAAAGGAATGGACAGGAGCAGTGTATTGATCAGAGTTCTCCAGAGAGACAAAACCAGGATATATGGAAGGGGATATATTAGAGGGAATCAGTTCACACAATCACAGAGATGGAGTAGTCCCAATAGGGCAATTGCAAGCTATAGAGCTGGAGATGCCAGCAGCATTGGCTAAACACTGGTAACATGGATCAGTCCAAGTCTGAGGCCTCAGAACCACGAAAGCCTACAGTGCAGTCCCTAGTCAGGCCCAAGAAACCCCTGAGAGGCTGCTGGTGCAAGTCTCAGAGTTCAAAAGCCAAAGAACCTGGAGTCTGACATCCAAAGGTAGAAGGAGTAAATGTGTCCTGCTCTAAAAGGGAGAGAGAAAGTAGAAAGAGAAAATTCCCTTTCCTCTGCAGGTTTGTTCCAGCCAGACCCCAATGTGAAGGCAAGTCTTCCTCTCTCAGTTCACTGATTCACATGTTCATCTCCTCTAGAAACACCCTCACAGACACTCAGAAACAATGCTTCGCCCTCCATCTAGCCATCCCTCAATCCAATCAAGTTGACATCTTAAATGAACCATCACAAGCAGCAAGGTCAAGAAAATAAACTCTGAAGTAGCTGCTGCTGTCAATCGGCCATATAAATCCCATTGGTGGCACAGAAAAGCAATGAAGAGACCTGAGTCACCCAGGAACAGGGCGGACAACAGACTTGAAATGGTGAACCTGGAGTCCTAGTTACTTCACTAGGCAATATCAAAAATACAAGGGATATCTTTAGAGCCATACAGGAACAAAGCTATCTGTTCATGGATCAATTGAGAAGAACTACCAACTAGATTTACATCCCTCACAAATTTTCTTGGACACACCCTTGCTATGTGGTAGCTGCGGATGATTGGTTTGGATTTGACTCATTTTATTTTTTTTTCCTTCTATTCTGAATTCACTCCCATTCCCATGATAGCCTGAATCATAGATTTATCCCTTTTGACTTTCAGGTTCCCCCTGCCACCTTAACTAAGCAATTAACTCTATACTCACTCCCTCACCGCCCACTGACATCTCCCAGTTGGTTTCTCTCTCCCAATTGTAATCTTCACCTATTCCTACTTCTAGTTCCTCACAAATAGATCCAAAGTTGTATGGCCTCGAGAGTGAGAACTATATGTATTTTCCTATCCAGTCAGTGAAATGTAAAAATGAATTGACAGAAAAATATAGACTCTTACTTATTTTTATATTATGGGACATGAGTTACTACTAAAAAAATGAATAAGGCTAAACTAAAAACTTAAAGAAAAAGACCAATTTTATCTGCTATTAAATTGAATATGAACCTGAAAAGGGATGTTAGGATACAGAATTTCTACTGATTATTTTATCAACACCTAATGCTAATACATTTCTGAGAAGTGACCATGTACAAGTACACCAATCATTGCAAAATTGAAGAAAAGAGTAAAGAGAAGATTTTTTAAATCTTATTTGGCCCCACCAACCCTTTTCTTAAGCCTCTTGTAAACATGAGAAAGAAAGCAGATTATGCCTTTTCTACTGTCAGATGAAACTCTGATTTTCTAAGTGTAGCCACATCTCTATCGTAACCAGAAAAAGTTCTTGCATTGTGAAATTTAAACCATGTCAGCAAAAACTGACATAGTTAGCACACTTACAACTGCCTATACTTGGGAACAAAAAGGTAAAATAATGAATATTTGATGTCACCTATTAACCCTCTCAGCAGTAATTTTACCTACTTCCTATATTCCCCCAAAACATTAATAATCTCATTTCTCAGTTATTATACACTTATATCTAGTGGATTTCTCTTTGATCAAATTAACATTGTCAAACCAGTGGTAAGTTTAAGAAATGCAACTTACATAGTGAGTATAGTTACAAGGTAATACCCAAAAGAAATTTATTGTCCAATGTTAATTTTTTGCTTAACATAAATCGCTAGCACAAGCCACATAATATTGCCACACCTAAGCATGCTGGAGGTTTTATGATGCCTTATTCATGGTGTCCTGACTACATTCTAGAGCTTATTATCTTTTTCCCTATTTCTGATCCCCCAAAATATGGGTTGCTTTTTTATCTTCCACTTTGGGCTGCTTCATTTGCTTGATATTATCAAGAGGAAAATGATAATGCATTCTATAGGTCACTGACTCCTTTATTTCTTATGCTGTGTTCAGAACAGAAAGCCTGCACATTTTCAATTAAACAATTCCAGAATCACAAGACGAGGTAACATTGTTTATGTAGAGACTGGGCTGGGAATACTAACAAGCTTGGCACATCAATTCATGGTAAAATCCTGCATATCCAGTAATTCTAAAGTTCACCTTGAAGTTTGTATTGCATTTTGTCATTCTGTTTAAATGTGTGTCTTTGCCAAAAGAGAGCAATGGAACTTTTTACTGCATTCTATTAGTAATCCTTAAAGACCAAAAATTAAAGTCAGTACAAAACCACAGCTTTGTCAAATGCTAAATTTCAGTGGTATATATTTTTTTGGTCCAGAACATTTTTCTTTCATTATTTTTTTCTTTATTAATGCATTCTAAAATTGCATGCATATCCACTTTCTTTAAAAGGTGCAAAAACTAGTCTCCCAGAAAGTATTTCAATAGGGTAATATTTTAGCTTCTTTTCTAAAACAGTTTTAAGGGATTCACATTGACTAAATAACCATGGTAGCTCTATATTCTGGTAGACGGTGGATATAGCAACTTCCACAATTATAAATATTATATAAATTTGGCAATATGATACAGCTTTACTATTGCAAACATATGTAATTTTCAATTCAATCTAACTTCCATCTTGTAAAATCCATGTGTTAACCATATCAAATTGGCATCTTGGTGCAGATTCTCATGCTTTTCTAGAATTTCAAATTACAAATCCATTTTCATTTATTGTAAGGCAGTTCAAATCTTCACAAAGTATGGAAATAGTAATTTAAGATACTATTCTCTATAATCAAAAGTACAAAATATGTATTGGTCACTTACTATATATTATGCACAGCTCTAGGTAATGGAGCACATGACTGATGGACCAGACCAAAAAAAAAAAAAAAAAACCTTTTTTTTTAGTACTATAGTTAGATTGAGAGGAGGAAAGAAAATAAATAATAAGTTAACATATAGTGTGTAATATGGTATTAAGTGCCATGAAAAAAAATAAGGTAGGGAAAAGGGATTGGGACTGCAGGAAGAAAGACTAGATGCATTTTTAAATAGGCCAGGGAAAGAATTACTGAGCTGATACATTTAAGTAAAAACCAAATCTGTACAATGCACAGAAAAAGCCATACATATATCTAAAGGAGAATAAGAGAGAACAGCAAGGTCAATGGCCTTGAAGTGTATTTAGCATATCTGAGGAATAGCAAGCAGACCAAGGGGATTGGGACAGAATAAATGAAATAAAAGTAATAGGAAGGAAAGTCAGAAAGATAAAAGGAGGAGTGGTGGGCTTAGAGCTGGCATGTGGCACATAATTTTCTATATGAATGACACCCTCTGAAGTGGTGCAGCTGTGCGTGACAACTGCAGGCAGGCGGAACTATATAGGGCTTGGTGGGGTATTGTGATGATTTTGGTTTTTACTCTGAGTAAAATAAAAAGACACTGGAAAATTCTGAGCAGTACAGTGAAATGCTCAGACTTAAAATTTGGCAGGATTACATTGGCTGCTTATATTTTTAAAAAAGAATAGACTAAAGAGGGACAACAGAGGAAGCCAGGAATTCTAATAGGAGGTTTTTGGAATAATCCAGGCAAGAGATGATGGTGGTGTGGGTAAGAGGAATAGAAGTAGAGGTCATGAGAAGATATTAGAATTCGATTATATTTTCAAGATTTGCTGAAGGCTTGGCAGTAATTTGTTCTCCTAGCATCGGTTGAATCCACTTTGCAGTGGTCCAACACTTGCAAAACCAGCCTTATCATGTGCCATCAAAGACCCTCAGGGACAGCTAACCACCACCCAACTCCCCAGTGGGCTAAATACCAGCCTCACAGACCCCTTCTCTGAGCCCACAGATAGCACCACCTGAGAAGCACGCTTCTCAGGATTTCAGTTTCATGAGCCCCTCCTCTAACCTTCTAAATTTTAATCCTTGTATCCTCTTCCTTTTATTCTCTCAACTGTAGGAATGGTAGCTACTTTCTGCAATTACTATTTCCATATCATCATGTTCTTTTTGTTGTCTATTTTTAGTTCCAAATTATCTAGTCAATAATTCTTGTATTGAATTCTCTCCATTAAAATAACTGATAGAGTTTCTGTCTCCTGATGACCACTGACTTTTACAATGCATGAAAACATTGACTTGGAGAGAGTAGACTCAAAATATTTTAAATAAACAAATACACAGAGGAATTTTTTTTTGAAGAATTGTACTTTAAAACAGATCCTTTAAAATAACATGCATAGTTAGTTGGGTGCAGCAGCACGTGCTTGTAATCACAGCACTTTGGAAGGCTGAGGCAGGAAGATTGCTTGAGGCAAGGAGTTCAAAAATGACATGCATATTCATCACAAAGTCCTAATAAATTAACATTACATTTTTAAATGAATCCATAAAAACAAGGTAATTAAGGGAAGACGCTAAACAGAAAATTTTGAAAAACTGGAAAGCAGATAAATAGGAACTGACCTTGAAAACCTAAGAATGCTAAAACTTAAGCCCCTAGGGTAGAGAAAGCACAGAAGAAAACCAATTTAAAATTTGAAGCAAAGAAATGTTTCCATAATTGGAAGCATGTGTACTTCTGAGCAATGAATTCTCTACATTTTTGTTTTGCCATATATGTCCCAGACTGAGTGCTGAAGAAGCCAGTCACCTGGAAATACCAATAGGCACAAAAATACTTCCTAAAAAATTTCCCTTTCCAGCCAAATAAGGAGGTACCTAGCAAGATAGGAAAAACAATTAGACAATAACCACTATACACCAGCCAAACACCACAGGAAAAAAACAAAAACAAAAAACTGTAACCCCATTCACACCTCCACCACCAAAGAAAACTGACTAGGCTCCTACCTTCATTAAGCTGTAAAAAGTCATCCCCATCCTTCTGCCAGGGAAGCATCAGTGAAAGCCAAAAAAAGCTGGGATGTTCTCCTCCACTGAGTGACCTTTTACTATGGGGTCAACGGAGTAGTGGAGACCACATGGGGAGTCTTCACTTTCACCCAACCCTGAGGTATTAAGATGCCCCTCACCCTGCCTGCTGAGTTGGTATCAGAGAAGGCCTAATGGAGAGTCAGGACTTTCACCCATACTCACTAGTAACAAAGTAACCTCGTCCCTGCTGAAAGTGTCAGGGAGACCATATAAGAAGTAAAGACAAATCCCTCCTACTCATAGACAGAGTGGTATTAGTGGATGTATAATAGAAAGCCTCATCCCCTACCCTTGCCCAGCAGTAACAAAGAACACCCCTGCGCCACTGTCAGTGGGGATCAAGTGGGCAAGCTGGACTTTCACCCACACTTGGCAATAATGACATGATGCTTTTCTTTCCCTTCTAGAAGGTTTTCAGAGAATGCCTGCTATACCAAAGATTTAAATAAGCTCAAAATAACCAATATTTCCAGAATTCAATTTAAAAAATTACTCATCATATTAGAAAATTCTCAGCTAGAATAAGAAAAGACAATCAACAGATGCCAACACTGAGATACAGACATTGGGATTATCTTGCAAGAATTTTAAAGGATCCACAATTAAAATGTTTCACCAATTATGAATATGTTGGTACGAATGAAAAAAATGCAAAGTATTAGCTAAGGAATAAAAGATATAAAGAAGAACAAAATGATATTTTTAGAACTAAAATATACAATAACTAAACTTAAAAAAAAACTTAATAAACGTGCCCAACAGTAGAATGGAAAGGATAAAGGAAAGAATCCGTGAACTGGAAGATAAACAATGGAAATGAACCAATCTGATCAACAGAGAGAAAACAGAAAGAAAAACAGAGACCTTTGGGACTATAACAAAAGTTTTAACATTTATGTCATGAACAACTGGAAGGAAAAGAGAAAGATGGTGTGGCTGAAAAGGTATTCAAATAAAGAATGGCTAAAAATTTCCTGAATTTGTCAAGAAAACATAAGCTTACAAATTTGAGAAGCTGAGCAGATCCCAAACAGAACAAGCCCAAAGAAATCCCACCTAGGCACATCATAGTCAAATTCTGAAAACTACAAAATAAAAAATATCATGAAAGCAGGAAGAGAAAAATGACACCTTATCTATAGGAGAAAAATAATTCAAATGACAACAGATTTCTCGTTAAAAATCATGAAGGCCAGAAGGAAGTAATACAACATTTTCTAAATGCTAAAATAGAAGAAATGCAAATTCTGAGTTTTTTAGCCAGCCAAAAATATTTTTCAGAAATGAAGGGAAAAGACATTCTCAGATTAAGAAAAACTAAAAGAATTTGTCACCAGCAGAGTCACCCTAAAGAATGGCTAAATAAAATTCTCCAAGCAGAAAGGAACTGATAAACCAAAAATTCTAGAACATCAGAAAGGAAGAAAGAATAAGAGAAAAAGAAAAATTGTGGGTAAATATTATAGATTTTTCTCATCTTCTATATTTTCTAAATTATGTTTGACAGTTAAACAAATATTATAATAATTTATGATACATTATAAACTGTCTCAATGTATTAGAAAATAAGTTAAGTTAATTATACTATACATGAGTGAGGGTAAAGAGACATAAAGGAAGGAAAGATTTCTATACTTCACTTGAACACCAATAAACAGCAGTAGACTGTGATAAGTGATATATATTTAATGTGATACCTTGAGCAACCATTTAAAAATCTATACAAGATACACTTAAAAACACCACAGATGAATTAGTATGGAATTCTAGGAGATAGTCAAGTAACTATAGAAAAGGAGAGAAAAGAAAATGGAAAAATGAGAAACAGAAAGTACAAACAGAACACAAAAGTAAAATGGCAGACTTAAGCCTTAGCTTATCAAAAATTGCACTAAATATACACAGTTTAAATACATAAATCAAAAATTGGTAGACCCAACTATATGCTGTCTATAAGAAACTCACTTCAAACATAATAATATAGGTAAGTGAAAATTTTCAAAGATGAAAAATGATATACCATGCAAACATTAATCAAAAGAAAACAGGAATGTTAATATGAATATCAGATAAAGTAGACTTTAGGGCAGAGAAAATTACCAGGATACAGAGTAACATTACATAACGATAAAAGGATAAATCTACCAGGAAGGCACAGAAATCCTAATTATGTATGCACCAAACAACAGAATCTCAAAATACATGAGGCAAAAAACTAATAGAGCTAAAAAAAGAAATGAAATAGATGAATCCACAATTAAAATTAAGGATGTCAACACTATGTCCTGAAGCAAATGACAGGACTACTAGACAGAAAATCAGCAAGGATATAGAAGAACTCAACATCATCAACTAACAAGATCAAATTAACATGTATAGAACAATCCACCCAATAACAGCAAAATACACATTCTCTTCAAGTGTCCACAGAACATATACCAAGATTGACCGTATTCTGAACCATAAAACATACCTCAAAATGTTTTAAAAAATTAAAATCATTTTTCAGACATGAAAGAAAAAGACATTATCAGATAAAGAAAAGCTAAAAGAATTTCTCACCAGCAGAATTACCCTAAAAAATGGCTATAGAGAATCATCCCTGACAACAATAGAGTCAAACTACAAATCAATAAGTGAAAGATAATGGGAAAATCTTCAAACACTTGAAAACTAAATATGTTTCTAAGTAATCCATGGGTCAATGAGGAAGTCTCAAGGAAAATTTTAAAAATATATTGAATTGAATGAAAATGAAAATACAACATATTAAATTTTGTGGGACACAACTTAAGCAATGATAAGAAAAAAAAATTTTAGCATCAAATGCTCACACGAGAATAGAGAAAAGATCACAAGTCAATAATCTAAGTTTCTGCCTCAAGAAACTAAAAGAAAAGAGCAAGATTAACCCAAAGTCAGCAGAAGAAAGGAAATAATAAAGAAAACAGCAGAAATAAATAAAATTGAAAACAAGAAATAGAGAAAATTGATGAAACTGAAACTTGTTTTTTGAAAGTTTTTTTGTAAATGACAAATATCTAGTGAGAATGTCAAAAGGAGAGAGAAAAGACACAAATTAGCACTCAGGAAGAAAATAGGTACCACTACAAACCCTGAAGATATCAAAAGAATAAAAGAATACTGTGAACAATTACACACACATAAATTCGACATAGATAAAACAGACCATTTTCTCAAAACACACAATCTACCACAACTCATGCAAAGTGAAATCAATAATGTGAATAGGCTCATGACAGTTAAATAAATTGAATTAAGAAATTTTAAACTCTTCAAAAAGGCATTCCCAGGCCCAAATGGTTTCACAGGAGAATACGACCAAATGTTTAAATTAAAATAACACCAATTCTACACAATTTCTTCTGGAAAACAGATGAGAGGGCAACATGGCCCAATTAATTCATTTTGTGAAGCCAGTGTCACCCTTATTCCAAAGACAGTACAGAAAATGAAAACTGCAGACCAATATTCTTCGTAAATATACTGCAAATGGATTTCAGCAATATGTAAAAAGAATTTTATAAGACCGTGTTGGATGTTTATTCCAGGGAGGCAAAGCTAGCTCAATATTAGAAAATTTAGTGTAGGCAGGCAAGATGGCTCATGCCTGTACTCCCAGCACTTTGGGAGGCTGAGGCAGGTGGATCACAAGGTCAGGAGTTCAAGACCAGCCTGGCCAGCATGGTGAAACCGCATCTCTACTAGAAATACAAAAATTAGCCGGGCATGGTGGCACACGCTTATAGTCCTAGCTACTCGGGAGGCTGAGGCAGGAGGATCACTTGAACCTAGGAAGCAGAGGTTGCAGTGATCACGCCACTGCAGTCCAGCCTGGGCAACAGAGCGAGACTCCACCAAAAAAAAAAAAAAAATAGTGTAATCCACCATATTAAGAGGCTATAAAGAAAAACTGCACCATCATATCAATTGCTGGAGAAAAAGCATTTGACAAAATTTAGAATTCAACATCTATTCAAAATTAAAATTTTGAGAAAATGAAGCATAGAAGAGACCTTCCCCAACTTGAAAAAGGGCATCTACAGCTAACATCACATTTAATCATGAAAGACCGAAAGCTTTCCTCTAAGATTGCAACAAGGCAAGGACATTTGCTCTCATCACTTCTATTCATCATAATTATGAAATTCTCATTCATGTAATAAGGCAAGTAAATGAAGGAAAAGACATACAGATTGAAAAGGAAAAAATAAAATTGTCCCTATTTGCAGATGACATAATCATCTATGTATAAAACCTAAAGGAATCTATTGACTACTTAGTGACTTTGGCAAGGTCAGATCAACATACAGATGTAAGATCAACATACATCAGATGTCAGATGAACATACAAAAATTAATTGTATTTTTATATACTAGCAGTGAACACATGGTCATCAAAATTAAAAGTACAATGACACAATTGCTTTTAAACAAAATAAATTCTTAGATGTATGTTTAACAAAACAAATACAGGATCTAGATCCAGAAAAATCACAAAATTCTGATGAAAAAAAATCAACCAAGACCTAAATAAATGGGAAAGCATACTGTATGTATTAATCAGGTTCTCCAGATAAGCAAAATGAATATAGAATAGAATAGATAAATAGATAGAGATATAGAGATCGATTGATAGATTAGATAGATGGAGATTTAAAGATGTATTTAAGAGGAAATCTGTTATGTAAATTGGCTCATATAATTATAGAGGCTGAGAAGTTCCATTATTTGCAAGCTGGAGAACCATGAAAGCCATTAGTGTAAGTCTCAATCCAGTTCTGAAGATCTAAGAACCAGGAGCATAGATGTCTGAGGGCAGGAGAAAGTAGACAACCCAGCTTAAATAGAGATAGTGAATCCACTCTCCCTCCACTTTTTTGCTTTACTCAGGCACTCAAAGGATTGGACAATGCCCATCCACACTGGTGACAATAATTTTCTTTACTCATTCTGCCTATTTTAATGTTAGTCTCTTCCAGAAACATCCTACAAACACACCTAGAAATAATATTTCAGCTGCTACATGGGCATTCTTTAGCCCAGTAAAGCTGACACATAAAAGTAACCATCACACTGTATCATGGATTGGAAGACAACATAGTAAAGATGTACATACTGATAAACATTTATCACAATTCCTGTCAAAATCTCAGCAGGATTTTTTGTAGATACATACAAGATTATTCTAAAATATGTAGAATGGTAGTGGAACTTGGATATATAAAACAATTTTGAAAAAGAATAAGGTGGGAAGAATTATTTTATCAAGGCTTATTATATAGCCACAATAATCAATACTGTGTGGTTTTCACAGACGTATAAACACATAGATCAAGGGACCGTCATAGAAAACCCAGAAATAGACCCATACAAGTACAGCATACTGATTATATACAAAGGTGTAATAGTTTGTTTTCACACTGCTATAAAGAACTACCTGCGACTGTGTAATTTAAAAAGAAAAGATGTGTAATTGACTCACACTTCCCCAGACTTAACACGAAGCATGACTGGGAGGCCTCAGGAAACTGAAAATCAAGGCAGAAGATGAAGGGCAAGCCCGCACATCTTCACAGTGATGGAGGAGAGAGAGAGCAAAGGAGGAAGTGTCATACACTTTCAAACAACCAGAAGTGGTGAAAACCCACTCGCTGTCATGACAACAGCAACAGGGAAGTCCACCCCATGATTCAACCACATCCCACCAGGCCCCTCCCCCGACACATGGCGATTACAGTTGGAGATGAGATGTCGGAGGAGACACAGAGCCAAACCCTATCAAAAGGTGCACAAAGAATTACATAGAAAAAGAATAGTATTTTCAACAAATGGTGCTGGAGCAATTGGATATTCATAGGCAAAATAATAATAATAAACCTTGACCTAAACTTCACACCTTATACAAAAATTCAAAAGGTTTAAGATTTAAGTGTAAAATGTATAAAAATATAGAAGATAACTTAGAAGAAAATCTTCAGGACCTAAGTCTTGGTAAAGAGTTTTCAATGACACCAAAAGCATGATTCATAAATGAGGGAAAAAAATGGTAGTTTCATCATCACAGTTAAAAATTTTTATTCTGTGAGAGACCCAGAGGAGAGAGCAAAGAAAAACTGCAAATATTTGCAAATATCAACAAAAAATAAATCTAGAATATATAAAGAACTCTCAAAACTCATCAGTTAAAAAGAATTCAAAAAGAAAATGGCAAAAGACATGAAGAGACATTTCACCAAAGAGGATCTATAAAAGGCAAATACAGCTGGGTGTGGTGGCTCACGCTTGTAATCCCAGTACTTTGGGAGGCCAAGGCAGGTGGATCACAAGGTCAGGAGACTGAAACCATCCTGGCTAACACAGTGAAACACCGTCTGTACTAAAAATACAAAAACAAAATTAGCCAGGGATGTTGGTGGGCGCCAGTAGTCCCAGCTATTCAGGAGGCCGAGGCAGGAGAATGGCGTGATCCTGGAGGGCGGAACTTGTCGTAAGCTGAGATCACACCATTGCACTCCAGCCTGGGTGACAGAGCAACACTCTGTCTCAAAAAAAATAAAAATAAAAAGGCAAATACAATAATGCTTTAATTAAACCCCCTTTATAAGAAAGGGAGAGAAAAGTGAAATAGAGTGCTTACCACCACTATCCAACTAAAAGATATTGGCAATACAATTAAATGACCAAAAATATAAATTATGTTTACTTACCTCCTTCAGTAACTTCCAGTCACAGCACCTGGTCCAAAATATTGTAATCAGTTTTTAATTAATTAACACATCAAACCTGGGAAAATGATTAACATCCCTTTATGTCTACTATAAGTAAGTCATATACATACTGCTAGCTTCTTTCCCATTTATTATTTAAGTTTTCCAACAACGTTGTGAGAGATACATTATTATACTCATTATAAAAATAAGAAAATTGAGATTTTGGAAGTCTAAGATAACTTGGTACATCCATAAAGTTAGTTAAATTATGAATTCTTGATATGTTTGATTCTGTACAAATAAGCTATTTTTATTTCTATTTATGAGAGAAAAAGATAGTACAATTTAATTAAAAACCATAATATGCCAGGAGCAAGATGGTGGATAGGAGGCAGGGCTACTGTGCATCTCCCATTTGGACGGACAGAACAGAGTGTAGAGGCTCTCATTGTGAACTTTTCTTCCAAGAACCACTGCAGGAATGGACCAGGAAAATCAAAAGAATTCACAGATCCTTTGAAAGGAATAGCATGCCACTGCAAACTTCACAAGACAAACAAAAAACTGTGAGTCCCTGAAGTGTGAGAGGAGGAAAAGTTTGCCTCTGAACACATATTCTCCACTGAGGAATCTGAAAATCCAAATCACAGGAGAAGAATTTAACCTTACCTAGAGCTAGAAAAAATTTAGAAAGCTATGTGAAATACAAAAGTAGAAACAGCAGTGGGAAGAGCCTTATAGGTACTGTCAGTCTCCAGCTTGAGCCCAGGGAAGCCATCCCTCACTATATCTCACAGAGGCCCACAGGGAAGGTAGCCAGCAGAATTAGGGAGGGGTCACAGGATGAAAGAAGCATTCAACTGAATTTTGTGATAATTTCGAGTAGGCACAAACTTCCTTGAGCAGAATCCAGGGAGCAAACGGGAACCGCTCCAGATATGAGCACAGAAGCTGCCAATGTTGTGGGCAGACAGACAGGGGCATGGCCTGAATGCTGTGCTTGCTTTCTTGGTCAAGAAGTTTATGGTGGGACAGGTCTGACTTCTGTGCTCAGGCTTCCTGAATCTAAACTTGATGCTGTTAGCAGGCACTGCAGGAGTGAGACCAGCTTCACCAACTGCATTGGAGCTGGGTGAGGCCTTTCACTACCAGCTATCCCCCCACTTCTCTGGTGAACTATACTGCACAGTAGAGGCAGCCATAATCCCCTATGTAACATAACCCCATTGGCCTGAGAACCACTCCCCATCCCCCACAGTGGCTGCAGCAAGCCCAGCCTAAGGAGAGTCTGAGCTCAGGCCCATGTAACCCTATCCCCACATGATGGTATTTCTCTACCTACCCCAGTAGCTGAACACAAAAGACATATACTCTTGGGAGGTTAATGGCCCTGCCCATCCCCTGAGAAACCAGAATACTTCCACTGGCCAATTTAGGACAACCTTAAATTCCACTGCTAATACCACAGCTGGTGCTCTCTTGAAAGTGCCACCTCCTGGCAGGAGGCTAACCAATTTAGGCCATTACAGCAACTTATGACAGAATAACACTGCTCCCAGGAAGGAGAAAACAACAGCTAATGCAACTGTCTGAAACATCCTGGCTAACCAGAGGTCCTGAGTCTGTCCACATGACAACTTCGCTGCTAGCATAACCAGCATTCAAGAAAGCCAGTATATTAAACCTATGACCAAGGATTCTCAGAGTTTACTTCAGTCCGCTGTCACCTCCACAAGAGCAGGTGCTGGTATCTACAGCTGGGAGACCTGAAGACCGATCACATCACAGGACTCTTTGCAGACATTCCCCAGCACCAGCCCAGAGCCTGGTAGCCCCACTGGGAGGCTAGACCCAGAAGAGCAATAACAATCACTCCAGTCTAGCTCTCAGGAAGCCCCATCCCTAGGGGAAGTGGGAGAGCACCACATCAAGTGATCATCCAACAGGACAAAAGAATTTGAACAGCAGGTCTTGTGTTCCAGATCCTTCAGCCAGTGGGACGTTTCTCACAGCAGAACCAAAATTGCAGTGTTGGGCGCAGTAGGGAATATCTGTACCTATACTTCAACAGGCAGGCAGCCTCTGTGATCATGAAGGACCTTGGGGAAGGGATCCTTGTATCCCCTATCACTCCCGCATAGACACAGCTGGAGCTTCCTTCATAGGAATGCAGCATGGAGACACCTATAGACAGCCTTTCTAGAACAATCCAGGGTGAGTGCAGCCCCACAGGAGGAGCACACCCCAGATTCAGGCCTGCAGTAGAGGCAAAGTCACAATTCCTCCCTACTTGAAATATCAACATTCATATAGATAAACAGAGGTTCCTCTCTGATCTAAATAGCTGAAACACTAAGAGAAGAGTGAGGCTGTGAGGTGAATAGCTTTCCTGATGACCTGGCAGGGGAGCTGAGGTAGCTCCCACTCTTCACCCTGATAAAACCCCAGTATTTCTAATTGAGAGCCCCTCCAGGCACCCTCATCAAGGCTAGGACCTCAGCCCAGCATTAGGATTGCATCTACACACCTGCCTTAGCCACAACTTGTGCCTGCCCAGGGATACTTCCCCTATTGGCCTGAAGCTGAATCATCAACTCAGTAAACAAAACATTGGGGACAAATTAAATAAATAAAGTGTACACCACAAGAGAATGAGATAAGCTTCATGAGATCCCTGCCATCCAACTCCATAGGAGACAATGAACTCATTCACACACTAAGAATATAACTATTACCATCACCATTGGGGAATGCCAAGGCACAAAGACTGTCTATAACAAAGGATCTCATACAGAGTCTTCACACATACTGACACCGAGAATCAAATTAGGCTAAAATGAACTTTAAAGTCTGATCTTAAGAGGGAAAAAAAGAAATTTAAATTTAAAAAAACAAAATTCAATCAAAAATAAATTCAAGAAGAATTTGAAGAAATAGTCTACTCAAATGAGAAAGAACCAGAAAAGTAATTCTGATAATATGACAAAACAGTGTTCTGTAACACCCCCAAAGATCACACTAGCTCTCCAGCAATGGATCCAAACCAAGAAGAAAACTCTGAATTGCCAGAAAAAGAATTCAGAGAAAAAAAAAAAAAGGTTGATTATTAAGCTACCAAAGGAGATACCAAAGAAAGGTGAAAAACAACTTAAAGAAACTTTAAGAACAATACAGGATATGGGTGAAAAATGCTCCAGAGAAATTGATATAAAGAAAAAACAATTACAACTTCTAGAAATGAAAAACAAACTTAGGGAAATACAAAATGCAGTGAAAAATTTCAACAATAGACTAGAACAAGTAAAAGAAAGAACTTCAAAGCTCACAGTCAAGGCTTTCAAATTAACCCAATCAAAAAATTTTTTTAAAAAGAATTTTAAAAATTAAACAAAACCTCCAAGAAATCTGCAATTATGTTAAATGACCAAACCTAAGAATAATTGTTGTTTCTGAGAAGGAATAGAAATCTAAAAGTCTGGGAAACTTATTTGAGGGAATAATTGAGGAAAACTTCCCTAGCCTTGCTAAAGATCTAGCTATCCAAATACAAGAAGCTCAAAGGACTCCTGGTAAATTTATCACAAAAAGTTCATCACCTAGCCACGTAGTCATCAGGTTATGTAAAGTCAAGGTGAAGGAAAGAATCTTAACAGCTGTGAGACAAAAACAACCTATAAAGGAAAACGTATCAGATTAACAGCTGATTTCTCAGAAGAAACTTTACAAGCCAGAAGGCAGTGAGATCTTAACCTTTAGCCTCCTTAAACAAAATAATTGTCAGCCAAGCATTATGTGTCCAGCAAAACTAAGCTTCATAAATGAGGGAGAGATAAAGTCTTTTCCAGACAAACAAATGCTGAGATAATTTTTCTATTAGTTCATTTTCACACTGCTGATAAAGACATACCCGAAACTGGGAACAGAAAAAGGTTTAATTGGACCTACAGTTCCACATGGCTGGGGAGGCCTCAGAATCATGGCGGGAGGTGAAAGGATCTTCTTACATGGCGATGGCAAGAGAAAATGAGGAAGAAGTAAAAGCAGAAACACCTGATAAGCCCATCAGATCTTATGAGACTTATTCACTATCACAAGAATAACATGAGAAAGACTGGCCCCCATGATTCAATTACCTCCCCCTGGTTCCCTCCCACAAAATGTGGGAATTTGGGGAGATACCATTCAAGTTGAGATTTAGATGGGAACACAGCCAAACCATATCAATTTACCACTATAAAACCAGCACTACAAGAAATCCTAAAAGGAGTTCTACATTTTGAAACAAAACCATGAAATACACCAAAATAGAACCTCCTTAAAGCATAAATCTCACAGGTCCTATAAGACAATAATACAATAGAAAAAAATAAGATATTCAGGCAACAACTACCATGAGGAACAGACCAGTAACTCACATCTCAATACTAACATTGAATGTAAATGGCATAAATGCACCACTTAAAAGATACAGTATGGCAGAATGGATAAAAATCCACCAACCAAGCATCTGCTGTCTTCAAGAGACTCACCTAATACATAAGGACTTATATAAACTCAAGGTAAAGGGTTGGAAAAATATATTCCATGCAAATAGAAACCAAAAATGAGGAGGAGTAGCTATTCTTATATCAGACAAAACAAACTTTAAAGCAACAATAGTTTAAAAAGACAGAGGGACATTATATCATGATAAAAGGATTAGTCCAACCAGAAAACATCACCATTTTAAATATATATGCACCTAACACTGGAGCTCCCCAATTTATAAAACAATTACTACTAGACCCAAGAAATGAGATAGACAGCAACACGATATCAGTGGGGCACTTACAATAGGCCACAAAACAAGTCTCAATAAATTTAAGAAAACCGAAATTATATCAAGTATCTTCTCAAGCCACCATGAAATAAAACTGGAAATTAACTCCAAAAGAAACCTCAAAACTATACAAACACATGGAAATTAAATAATCTGCTCTTGAATGATCTTTGAGTCAACAATGAAATCAATATGAAAATTAGAAAATTTTTTGAACTGAATAATAATAGTGACACAACTTATCAAAACCTCAAATCAAAATCTACAGCAAAATCTACAGGTGCTAAGGCGAAAGCCCAGGGCATTAAATGCCTATATCAAAAAGTCTGAAAGAGCACAAATAGACAATCTAAGGTCACACCTCAAGGAACTAAAGAAACAAGAACAAATCAAACCCAAACTCAGCAGAAGAAAAGAAATAACAAAGATCAGAGCAGAACTAAATGAAATTGAAACAAAAAAATACAAAAGATAAATGAAACAAAAACTAGTTCTTTGAAAGGATAAATAAAACTGATAGACTGTTAGCGAGATTAACCAAGAAGGGAGAAGATCCAAATAAGCTCAATTCAAAATGAAACGGAAGATAATACAACCAATACCACAGAAATACAAAAGATCATTCAAGATTATTATGAACATCTTTATGTGTACAAAGTAGAAAATCTAGAGGAGATGGATAACTTGCTGGAAATACACATCCCTCCTAGATTAAATTAAATCATGAAGAAGTAGAAACTGAACAAATAAAGAATAAGTAGAGGGATTGAAACCAATAAAAAAAATTGCCAACAAAAAAATGTCCAGGACCAAATGGATTCACAGCTGAATCCTATTAGACATTTAAAGAAGAATTGCTACCAATCCTACTGAAACTATTCTAAAAGATAGAAACAGAGGGAATCCTCCCTAAATCATTCTATGAAGCCAGTATCACCCAAATACCAAAATCAGGAAAGAACATAACAACAACAACAACAACAAAACTACAAACCAATATCCCTGATGAACATAGATGCAAAAATCCTGAACAAAATACTAGCTAACCAAATCCAACAGCATATCAAAAAGATAATACAACATGAGCAAGTGGATTTCATACCAGGGGTCCAGGGATGGTTTAAAATACACAAGTCAATTAATGTGGTATATTACATAAACAGAATTAAAAGCAAAAATTATATAATCATCTCTACAGAAGCAGAAAAAGCATTTGACAAAATCCAGCATCCCTTTATGATTAAAATCCTCAGCAAAACTGGCACAGAAGAAGTATATCTCAAAGTAATAAAAGCCATCTATGACAAACCCATAGCCAACATCATACGGAACAGGGAAAAGCTGAAAGCAATCCCCGTGAGAACTGGAAAAAACAAGGATGCTCACTTTTGCCACTTATATTCAATGTAGTACTGGAAATCCTAGCCAGAGCAATCAGGCAAGAGAAAGAAATAAAGGGCATCCAAATTGGAAAAGAGAAAGTCACACTGTCACTGCTCTCAGATATGATCATATACCTAGAAAATGCTAAAGACTCATCTAAAAAGCTCCTAGATCTGATAAATGAATTCAGTAAAGTTTCAAGACACAAAATCAGTGTACACAAATCAGTAGCACTTCTACACCAACAACAACCAAGCTGAGAATAAAATAAAGAACTCAATCTTTATTACAACTGCAAATAAAATAAAATAAAATGAAATAAAATATTCAGGAATATACTTAACCAAGGAGGTCAGAGATCTCTACAAGGAAAACTACAATACACTGCTGAAAGAAATCATAGAAGACGCAAAGTAATGGAAACACATCCCATGTTCCTGAATGGGTAGAATTATTGTGAAAATAACCATAATGCCAAAGGCAATCTACAGATTCAATGTAATTCCCATCAAAATATCACTATCATTTTCAAAGAACTAGAAAAAAATCCTAAAATTAATATTGAATGAAAAAAGAGCCTGCATAGCCAAAGCAAGACTAAGCAAAAAGAACAAATTTGGAGGCATCACATTAGGTTATGTGATAGACTTCAAACTATACTACAAGGCTATAGCTACCGAAGCAGTATGGTACTGGTATAAAAAAAAGGCATGAAGACCAATGGAACAGAATAGAGAACCCAGAAATAAACTCAAATACTTACAGCCAACTGATCTTCAACAAACCACACAAAAACACAAAGTGGGGAAAGGACACCCTCTTCAATAAATGGTGGTGGGATAATTGGCAAGACACATATAGAAGAATGAAACTGAATCCTCATCTCTCACCTTAGACAAAGATCAACTCAAGATGGATCAAAGACTTAAATCTAAGACTTGAAACCTTAAAAATTCTAGAAGATAACACCAGAAAAACTCTTCTAGACATTGGCTTAGGAAAAGACTTCATGACCAAGAACCCAAAAGCAAATGCAAAATAAATAAATAAATAAATAAATAAATAGGACTTAATTAAACTAAAATGCTTCCACACAGCAAAAGAAATAATCAGCAGAATAAACAGACAACCCACAGAGTGGGAGAAAATATTCACAAACTATGCATCTGACAAAGCATTAATATCCAGAGTCTACAAGGAATTCAAACTAATCAACAAGAAAAAAAACAAATAATCCCCTTAAAAAGTGGGCAAAGGACATGAATAGACAGTTCTCAAAAGAAGATATAGAAATGGCCAACAAACATATGAAAAACTGCTCAACATCACTAATAATCAGGGAAATGCAAATAAATCAAAACCACAATGTGATACCACCTTATCCCCTAATGTGTATGAGGAGAGCCCTTATCTCATCAGTTGAAGGCCCAAATAAAACAAAAAGTCTGATGCTCCTCTACATAGGAGAGAATACAATTAGTGTCCTTATAAAATAGGCTCAAAGGAGATCCCTTGCCTTTCCATCTTGTGAGGTTAGAGTGAGAAGACAACTGTAGCTGAGAAAGCTGGCCCTCACCACACAAAATCTTCTGGTGCCTTGATCTTGGACTTCTGTGTCTCTGGAACTGTGAGAAATAAATTTCAGTTGGTTATAAGCCTCCCAGTCTACGGTTTTTTTAATCGTAGCTGCCTGAACAAAGGCACTCACCAAAAAACTTCTGGTTTTAATTTAACTTTCCATGTACAACTTCTCACCTTGAAAAATGCTCCCTCTTCAGGCTAAGTATTTTAGGCTGTGTATCAGATTACTTAGATACCTGTTATTTTTGTCTAGCTGGCAATCATTCAGCCTTCTTCTGAAGAGAACATTTTCATTTCCCTCAGTTCATGTTTGTGAATATTATTCATCTTTCCAGATACAGGAATAGGAATGTGATTTAGGCCTAGATAAGGCAAAGCTACTCTGATTGGTTTCATGATGGATGTGATCAAATCTAGATCAGTGAGAATCAGCCATAGGAGTTTTGCTGGAACCATTTGCAAATATCTGGAATGAGACGTGCTCGTCCTGACAGAGTTGCTAAACTGCTAGAATATAAGCCTGAAGTTATGGCCAATTTTGCCATATTTGGTTGCCTAAGCATAAAGCTAATGCAAATGAAAACAATGCCAGAAGACAGGATAGAATCTGTGCCACCTAATCTAAATATCTGAGACTATTTGTCTCTAAAGATAGCACTGCTCTTTCTCGTTATGAAAGTCAGCCACTTTTATCTTGCTTTATTTTGTTTTGCATAAGCCAGCTTGAGTTGGGCTTTTGTAATTTTCCATAGAAAAAGATCTGAATCATGCAAATGGAAAATTTAAAAAATAAAGCCTGAGCCTACACGGATCAGCTTCCTCTGGTTTATGCATTGGTCTCTCTGAACCTAGTTAGTAAGCTTATTCTTGGTGTGCTAACAGCTTGTGTTTTTCAGTGTACAGAACTGAGAACCAAACCCTGGACTAGATAAAATTCACCAATCCAAATGCTGGTTTGTGAAGCTGTATAGCGTATGAATTAAAAGCATGTACTTTGCCAGAATAAAGCCTTAGCATTACATTTTAGCTTCCTCATTTACTCAGTGAGGTTTCTTGGGCAGGCAAATTATTTAACCTCTATAAGACTCAGTGCCCACATCTGTACAATGGGTCTGGCAATTCCACTTCTAGTACCCCATACTTACACATCTGTATATTATGCTCAATGCATATATTACTCTCAATAAGTCATATGTAATAGTTTGTATTCTTTTATCCATGCATGTGTGCACATGTGTGTTTCTATGTGGATGAGCATGTGTGTATATACATTTGTGTGTGTCTATATAAATTTGAGTTCGTGTGTATTTGTGCAAACCTATATTATTCTGGGGCAATATTGTGTTCTTCTATAGGCTTTGAATTTGGATAAAGCCAAAATAAAATCCTAGATCTCTTGCCTACTAAATGTAAGTAAGCTAGTAATTAAAAATTATTTTAATAATCAAGACTTATTAAAAATTTAGTATGTGAACATTTATGTCTAAGTGCTGGGTCATTTAACTTGCAAGACAACACTGAGTTAAGAATGGCATAGGTGGGCCGGGTGCGGTGGCTCACGCCTGTAGTCCCAGCACTTTGGGAGGTTGAGGCGGGCAGATCATGGGGTCAGGAGATAGAGACCATCCTGGCTAACACAGTGAAACCCTGTCTCTACTAAAAATACAAAAAAAATTAGCCAGGCGTGGTGGCAGGCACCTGTAGTCCCAGCTACTCGGGAGGTTGAGGCAGGAGAATGACTTGAACCCAGGAAGTGGAGCTTTCAGTGAGCCGAGATCGCGCCACTGCACTCCAGCCTGGGCAACAGAGCGAGACTCCATCTCAAAAAAAAAAAAAAAAAAAGAAGAATGGCATGGGTGAGGAAGCTGAAACTGAAAGAACATAAGGGGTTTGACTGTCATCATACAATTCAAGGGTAGCAAAGTCATGATTTGACTCAGTTCTATGAAAAGTTAAAATCACTTGTTCTCACCTAAACTTCTATGCTGCTTTCCTAATAAAGCAATACAAACAATACAGAGAAAACTGAGGACCTGTCTTTTCATGCAAATGGAATCTACTGAATGAGCAACTTAGGAAGTAACCTTTCATGCCTAAGGGATTATCTGTGTCTTCTGTATGTGAATGGCTCTGATCCAAGAATTAAACAATGGACTTCCATAAGATTGATAGGAATAGAGTGATCATCTCTTTTCCAAAACTACCCATTGCACTTTGGCAGATATTTATGTTTTTCTCAAACACGAGAATGCCCAGAAGCATAGCCATGAATCTAAATGCATAGGACTTTTAGCAGAAATCTTAGGGGGCAACTTTACAAGTGCCTGAAATAATGACCAAAGCAATTTTTAAAATGTGTTCAAATAATAGTTGTGAACACAGTCAAATTGTTCCACCTAAGATGCAAAGGAAAGGTAATTACCTGTAAAACACATAAAATATATATTGTTTACTCATCATTAACTCTGAACACCTTTATGCTAATGGATAGAATAAGACATGCTCCCAACAATAAGGTGACATAAACAGCCAGAGTAAGTTGGGGGGCACAAAGACCTCCCAGATGAGTGAATGACATCCCAGTAACCTTGCAGAATCCCTGTTACCAGCTGCAGACTTCAATCACCTGTGGAAGCAATAAATTATGCGAGAAAACCCAAACAGGCACTGCAGATTGCTTTACAAACATGATCTTATCTCTACACAGCCTCTAGCAAGGTGACAGAAAACCACCTTGTAGGTGAAGAAATAGAGCATCAAGGAAGAAGACAAATGACAAGACCCAATAGAACAAAGCCCCAGTTCTCTGAAGCCCAAAAATGTTTTGCCGTTATTGATACTTCTCCAAAGTTTCTATCATGTGGGGTTCCTTTAAGTTCTTCATTTTTAATGTTAAGAAAGCATTTCTGGAACAGTTTTAAATTATTGAACTACAGTCCTGCTTTTACCTTCTATTCATTTTTCCTCCTCCACATTCTTAGGGAAGCACAGAAGTTAACTAATGTTTGTGAGTTCCTGCACTGTGCCAGGCAACTTAAATGAATTCTAAATAGAAACACGTGTTCTCAATAAACCTTTTAGTACTTTTCCTCTTTTATAATCCACTGTTCCCTCCTGGAAGCAGAAATTATCAGAGGAACTGTTGCATAACTGTAAGCAGAGTAAAAGGGCAGTACCAGCACTCCTGATCCTGACAGTTTTCTTTTTAATGTGGTGGCTTTAGTCAATTCTGAAAAGAATTTTGAGAATAAAAAGTCTGTGATTTTTATCATGGACTTTTACTCAGCTCATGGTAACTTCAGTAATGGAGAAAGAACTAAGCTGCCAATAGCACAAACAATGTCAATGGAGTAATTATAGATGATGGATGAATAGATGAATAGACAGATAAACATAGATGATAGATGGATATAATAGGTGATAGGTAGATAATAAATAAATTCCACTTTCAATCCTCTTTTTTTCTATGTAAACATTTCTATCTAAATGTTAATGTAGGAAACATTAAAGTTAGGCAAAGGTTTTCTCTTTCAAAGGTACCAATGGAAGGTTAAACTTGAAATTAAAATACATTTCTCTAGCAGAGTGAAGAAATTAGAACACTTTTCCAAGTGTCCAGTGTAAGCTCAAGTGAGAATTGGACTTAATTCCCAATTTCTGATCCATAGCTAAAATGTTTTGTATGTATGACCAAAAACATTTCTTGCTAAATCAGCAAACTGCCTTTGATTTTAGTAGGTGGTATGACAGAAAATATACAAAAATGTTTATGAGCACAAATGCTTGAATCAACTGCCTGGGGTTCAACTCTTGACTCTACCACTAGGTACCTATGTGATTTAACACAATATTTAACCTTTTATGCCTCAAACTCTTTATCTATAAAATGTGGGTAATGGGAGTATCTACCTCATGAGCTGCTGTAAGGATAAATAAATTTTAAAAGAAAGAACCTTCGAACACTTCCTGGTACATTTTATGCACTCAGTAGATGTTAGCTAATATGATTATCACCAAATTTCAAGATGTTAAAACTGTAGCAGGATATTAGTCTATGTTTTGTTTTTCTCTTTGATGCAACTGAAAGCTATTATATTTTTCTTTCCTTTCTCAAGAAAAAAACCCAAGATTTTGAGTCCTAGGGTGGAAGTATGAGAGAAATTAGAATTAACAACCTCTGTTTTCCAAATATTTTCATAAAGGAACGTGGCTAAATTTAATTAAGAAAGGTGGGGGAAGGGGGCAAAAAGATGAAAGATGAGAATGTGGCCTGGAAGAAATGAGAGGGTGAGCATCCCACAGACTTAGAGCTGTATAGGGTTGAATTTTCAGCAAGTGAAGGAGACCCATGTTTCAGCCGCACACAGCACCCCAGATGGACGATGGAGAGGAGTATCTGATGTTGGCCTCTAAGAACCTAGGCCTTGAGGGCAGCATCAGGGGCCTCTGTGGACCAATGAGTAGGACCAGTCAGAGATATCTGAGATGGCCCAGTACAACTCTACCAGAAAAATAACAGAAGACAAGTATGTGCAAAGTATTGTGCAGCAGACTAAACTGTGGTAATGATCAAGACATGCTGGGCTATGGATCAGATCACTTACTCATCACAACTTGCCCCAACTCAAGTCTTATAGAACCATATGGAGGAGCCCCAAATAAAAACTAATATTGTTTTCCTTACTGCCCTGTTAATTGAAGACTAGACCCACAATTAATTTGTTTTAAAACAGTGAAACTTTATCTCAAGCAATGCAGGGCACAAGTATAGGTTTTGAAGTTATTTTGACCTCAGTTTAAACACTAGCTATGTCTGTGACCATGAGTAAATGACTACTTCACTAAACTTTAGTTACCACATTTGTAAAATTATAGCATACTTACCTGGAAGAGTATGTGTAAAAATTAGTAAAGTTAGTAAATCATTAATTAATAGACACATAATGTAGTACATAGTAGGTTCTCAGTAAAGGGAAACTATGGTTATTATAATATAAATGTGCTCCTTTATGCAGAAAAATAATGATCAATGAAAGATGACCCTCATATAAAAGAGAGCCTGTGACATGCAGCTCAGATCTCCTTCAGGACCAAGGCACTCTTGAACTAGGTTGCCTAGAATACGGGTTATATGACACATTCAATAGCAGGAGCATGGAGAGCATATGTAGAACTGGATCTAAAGGGGCTAGAACAAGGAGTCTTGGAACATACAGTTGGTAAGAGAGAGTTTATCAATATGGGAGTACTATCCTGTGAAGCAGGATTTAACATCCTGCAAGAACACTGGGAGATGGTCTAACATGCCACTCAGATGGCCTGAGATGCACAAGAAAGCGATACATTAGATGAATTAGAAATACTAAAAATTCTTCATTCATGAAAAGACTGACTCAGTAGGTGAGCACAAGTTGAAAATTGACAGCTGCTACATCTCACTCAGAGGTGACTTTGAAAAAAAAAAAAGCAAAAAAGAAAATTTCTCACAATGGGCAGAGCTTCAGCAGGTGTACCCAGCCATCTGCTTTGTGTGGAATGAAAAGTGGCCCATACACATATATATATATATAGTTTCATGAGCAATGGCAAAGGACTTTACTGGTTAATCAACACATAGAAGGAAAAAACCCCTGGATGTCTGGTACAGGGAAGTCTGGAAAAGAGGCATGTGGATTGACATAGAGGAATGAACACAATGTGTCAAAGTCTTTGTATTGCATGGTAATATGCTTGTGAATCATTCTGTAATCTGATACACAGATGATCCCCTGAAGCATCCTTCATACTGGCCTGCTCAATGTGAAAAACAGTCCTACTCTCCTCAGACTCACTCACATATTTTGTTGCTTAGGGTACTTCCCTATAAATCTCCTGTATGCAAATCTCTCTCAGAGTCTGTTTCTCAAAAACTCCAGTCCAAGAAAGGGCCCAACAAAACATATATAACTTAAAAGGAAAGACAATGAAAATTTTATATGACAGATAATTAACACTTTCATCATAAAATGTATATTTTAAGACCTTGAGCATGAACATTTTAAAGAAGATCGAGGCAAGTGGCTAAAATTATCACCACCACCCACCCTGCACCTGCCAACCATACAGACATACACTCACAGACATACCCACACACATATACTACTCATTCCTTGGAACACAAAAGGACAGAACATTAGGCTTTCTTACAAAATCAGATTTAAGACTGAAAAAAAAAACAGAATAGAAAGAATCTAGAATATGTATAATATACATATCAGCAAATAAATGATTAATTAAATACATTATTTGTATCTATATGATAAAATACTATGTCACAAATGAAAACTAACTTGTTTAGAAAAGTTAAATAACATGTAATTATAAAGTTTGACATATTAAAAACTGAATAAAATATAAAACAAATGTGGTACCACCTTACACTCATTAGGATGGCTATTATCAAAAAACAGAAAACAACAAGTGTTAGCAAAGATGTGGAGAAATTAGAATTTTTATGCATTGCTGTTCGAAATGTAAAATGATGCAGCTGCTGCAGAAAATGATGTTCTCTCAAAAATTAAACATAGATTTGTAATAAGATCCAATAATTCTACTTCTGGGTATATACATCATGAAACTGGAAGCAGGGACTCAAACAGATCTTTGTGCAGCAATGTTCATAGCAGCATTATTCACAATAGCCAAAGGACAAAAACATCCCAAATTGTACCAGATGAATAAACAAAATATGGCATGGCATATATATATATATGTATATGTATGTATACACACACACACACACACAAAATATAATCTTACTGTAGAAAAGATAAAAAGTGAAATTTAGTTCAGGCATGGTGGCTTACATCTGTAATCCCAGCACTTTGTGAGGCCAAGGCAGGAGGACTGCTTGAGCCTAGGAGTTCAAGACCAGCCTGGGCAACACAGCGAGACCCTGTCTCTTAAAAAAAGAAAAAAAAAGTGAAATTTACATACATGCAACAAGGATGAACCTTGAAGACATTAAGTGAAGTGAAATGAGACAGATACAAAGTAAATATTCATGGTTTCACTCGTAAGATATACCTAGAATAGTCAAATTCATAAAGAACGTAGAGGCAAAGAGGGCATTTTTATTTAATAAGTATAGAATTCCAGTATGGATGATTTAAAAGTTCTGCAGATGAATAGTGGTGATGGTTACTCAACAATGTGAATGTACTTAATGGCCCTAAAACATTAAAAATGGTAAATTTTATATTATTATATATTGCCACAATAGAAAAATTACTAAAAAGAAAACAAAAAGGAACAAAATATGGAACACTAGAATATCATTTAAAATATATACATACCTAGGTACTGAAGTGAGCATCTATTGTCTATGATTGTCCACTACACTATCTTCTCCTTCTTCTGATAAAATCACGTTTTTTTTTTTTCTTTTCAGGACTTACACTTCTATTCCTTTTGGTGAGACTATTATCCCCCTTCTCTTGCCAATCTAAGATGAAGGTATTCAAACTTTTCCTCCTGGAAATGTGAATTCAGAGTGAAGTCACAAATACTGAATATTCCATCAAGGATTCTAAACACTTACTCATATTGTATGTGTATTAAAAAGAAAAAGCCTGGAAGAATTTTAATAGGTAAGATTAAAAACCTTTGGTAGGAGGGATTAAGAATTATTTTCTTTCAATGTGGGACATATACATCATAGAATACTACACAGCCATAAAAAAGTATAAAGTCATGTCCTTTGCAGCAACATCAATACAGCTGGAGACCATTATCCTAAGTGAATTAATGCAGAAACAGAAAATCAAATCAAATACTGCAAGTTCTCTTATAAGTAGGAGCTAAAAAATGGGTACATATGGACACAAAGATGAAAACAATAGACATTGGGGACTTCAAAAGAAGAAAGAGAGGGCTGGGGCAAGAGTTGAACAATTACCTATTAGATACTATGTTCACTATTTGAAGGATAGGTTCAATAGGAGCCCAAACCCCAGCATTATGCAACATATTCATGTAACAAACCTACACATGTACCTCCTAAATCTAACATTTAAAAAGTTTTTAATAGAATTATTTAAATGTAATACCTCAAACTATAAAAATTCTTGAAAACAATCTAGGAAATACTCTTCTCAACATCAGCCTTGGCAAGGAATTTCTGGCTAAGTCACGAAAAGCAATTGCAACAAAAATAAAAATAGAGAAGTGAGACTTAGTTAAACTAAAAAGCTGCTGCACAGCAAAAGAAATTCTCAACGGAGCAAACAGACAACCTACAGAATTGGAGAAGATAGTCACAAACTATGTATCTGACAAAGACATAAAATCTTTGGGCGTATAGAACTATAGGGAACTTAAGCAAATCAACAAGCAAAAAACAACCCCATTTAAAAAAAAAACGCAAACGACAAACAAAGACATATAAGTGGCCAACGAACATATGAAAAAAATGCTCAGCACCGCTAATCATCAGAGAAATGCTAGTCAAAACCACAATGAGATACAATTTCCACACCAGTCAGAACTGCTTTTATCAAAAAGTCAGAAAACAGCAGATGTTGGCAAGGATGCAGAGAAAAGGGAATGCTTATAAACTGTTGGTAGGAATGTAAATTAGTCCAGCCACTGCGGAAAGTAGTCTGGATGCTTCTCAAAGAACTTAAAACAGGCCGGGCGAGGTGGCTCACACCTGTAATCTCAACATTTTGGGAGGCCGAGGTGGGCGGATGATTTGAGGTCAGGAGTTCAAGACCAGCCTGGCCAACATGGTGAAATGCCCTCTCTACTAAAAATACAAAAAAACTAACCGGGCATGGTAGCACATGCCTGTGATCTCAGCTACTCGGGAGGCTGAGGCAGGAGAATCACTTGACCCAGGAGGTAGAGATGCAGTAAGCCAAGATCGCACCACTGCACTCCAGCCTCGGCAACAGAGTGAGACTCAGTTTCAAAAAAAAAAAAACAAAGAACTTAAAAGAGTGCTACCATTCAACCCAGCAATCCAGTACTGGGTATATACCCAAAGGAATATAAATCATTCTGCCAAAAGACACATGCACTTGTGCATTCATTGCAGTGTTATTCACAATAGCAAAGATATGGAATCAACCTGGCCCTCAATGGTGAATTTGATAAAGAAAATGTGTTACATATACACCATGGAATACTACACAGCCATAAAAAAGAATGAAATCATGTCCTTTGCAATGTAGCTGGAGGTCATAATCCTAAACAAATTAGTGCAGGAACAGAAAATCATATACTGCATGTTCTCACTTATAAGTGAGAGCTAAGCATTGAGCACATATGGACATAAATGTGGGAAAAATAGACACTGTGGACTACTAGAAGGCAGGTTTAAAAAATACCTATCAGATACTATGCTCACTAACAGGGTGAAAGGATTCATACTCCAAACCTGAGCACCACACAACATTCCCATGTAATAAATATGCACATGTACCCCTGTATGTAAAATAAAAGTAGAAAAAATTTTAAGTAAATAAATCACTATTATCTTTCTTTCATCCTTTTTGTATGTTCCAAACTTCTACAATAAAAAGTATGGTCTGAATCATGTATGTGTGTATATACACATATACATATATACATACACACATAGATACACATAGACATATACATTACATACACACTTACATACATAATACAAAAATATTATAAAATATAAACTGTTTTTCAGGAAATAGACTCATTGGATTTAATCTCTTCTATAATTTCTATGTTTTTTACAGTTAACAGTTTCTTTCTATAATCAAAAATAAAGCCATAAAATATATTTTGAGATAATTAATTCAGGAATTTATTTCCTAAAAAGAAAATATTAGGAACAAAGATTCCTAATATTTTATATCCAAGTAGAACAGAAATGGATTTTAAGAACAAAATCTATTAATTGATTGGGTGGAGTGAGGCCCTCCTTACAGCACACACATCATCCCATTCCAATTTTATTGTCAGTTTAATCATTAAGAAAATCTTTAGAGAAGTCTCAGGCAGTTGATATTGACATTTCAAGAGGTCTCTTCAGGAAAGAAACAATTTTAATTTCTTCGATAAAAGTTTTCATTGTTTAATATAAAAGTTTTCATTGATTCCAAAATGATAAAAGCATTGACAAAAGTTTTCTTTTTTTATTACTATTATTATACTTTAAGTTCTAGGGTACATGTGCACAACGTGCAGGTTTGTTACATATGTATACATGTGCCATGTTGGTGTGCTGGACCCATTAACTCGTCATTTACATTAGGTATATCTCCTAATGCTATCCCTCCCCCCTCCCCCCACCCCATGACAGGCCCCAGTGTGTGATGTTCCCCATCCTATGTCCAAGTGTTCTCACTGTTCAATTCCCACCTATGAGTGAGAACATGCGGTGTTTGGTTTTCTGTCCTTGTGATACTTTGCTAAGAATGATGGCTTCCAGCTTTCCATGTCCCTGCAAAGGACATGAACTCCTCATTTTTTATGGCTGCATAGTATTCCATGGTGTGTATGTGCCACATTTTCTTAATCCAATCTATCATTGATGGACATTTGGGTTGGTTCCAAGTCTTTGCTATTGTGAATAGTGTTGCAATAAACATACATGTGCAAGTGTCTTTATAGCAGCATGATTTATAATCCTTTGGGTACATATCCAGTAATGGGATTGCTGGGTCAAATGGTATTTCTAGTTCTAGATCCTTGAGGAATTGCCACGCTGTCTTCCACAATGGTTGAACAAGTTTACAGTCCCATCAACAGTGTAAAAGTGTTCCTATTTCTCCACATCCTCTCCAGCACCTGCAGTTTCCTGACCTTTTAATGATCGCCGTTCTAACTGGTGTGAGATGGTATCTCATTGTGGTTTTGATTTGCATTTATCTGATGATCACTGATGATGAGCATTTTTTCATGTGTCTGTTGGCTGCATAAATGTCTTCTTTTGAAAACCATATGTTCATACCCTTCACCCACTTTTTGATGGGCTTGATTTTTTCTTGTAAATTTGTTTAAGTTCTTTGTAGATTCTGGATATTAGCCCTTTGTCAGATGAGTAGATTGCAAAAATTTTCTCCCATTCTGTAGGTTGCCTGTTCACTCTGATGGTAGTTTCTTTTGCTGTGCAGAAGCTCTTTAGTTTAATTAGATCCCATTTGTCAATTTTGGCTTTTGTTGCCATTGCTTTTGGTGTTTTAGACATGAAGTCCTTGCCCATGCCTATGACCTGAATGGTATTGCCTAGGTTTTCTTCTTGGGTTTTTATAGTTTTAGGTCTGACATTTAAGTATTTAATCCATCTTGAATTAATTTTTGTATAAGGTGTAAGGAAGGGATCCAGTTTCAGCTTTCTACATAGGGCTAGCCAGTTTTCCCAGCACCATTTATTAATTAGGGAATCCTTTCCGAATTTCTTGTTTTTGTCAGGTTTGTCAAAGATCAGATGGTTGTAGATGTGTGGTATTATCTGTGAGGGCTCTGTTCTGTTCCATTGGTCTATATCTCTGTTTTGGTACCAGTACCATGCTGTTTTGGTTACCGTAGCCTTGCAGTATAGTTTGAAGTCAAGCAGCATGATGCCTCCAGCTTTGTTCTTTTGGCTTAGGATTGACTTGGCAATGCGGGCTCTTTTTTGGTTCCATATGAAGTTTAAAGTAGTTTTTTCCAATTCTGTGAAGAAAGTCATTGGTAACTTGATGGGGATGGCACTGAATCTATAAATTACCTTGGGCGGTATGGCCATTTTCACAATATTGATTCTTCCTATCCATGAGCATGGAATGTTCTTCCATTTGTTTGTGTCCTCTTTTATTTCCTTGAGCAGTGGTTTGTAGTTCTCCTTGAAGAGGTCCTTCACGTCCCTTGTAAGTTGGATTCCTAGGTATTTTATTCTCTTTGTACCAATTGTGAATGGGAGTTCACTCATGATTTGGCTCTCTGTTGGTCTGTTATTGGTGTATAGGAATACTTGTGATTTTTGCACACTGATTTTGTATCCTGAGACTTTGCTGAATTTGATTTTCAGCTTAAGGAGATTTGGAGCTGAGATGATGGGGTTGTCTAAATATGCAATCATGTCATCTGCAAACAGGGACAATTTGACTTTCTCTTTTCCTAATTGAATACCCTTTATTTCCTTCTCCTGCCTGATTGCCCTGACCAGAACTTCCAAAAATATGTTGAATAGAAGTGGCAAGAGAGGGCATACCTGTCTTGTGCCAGTTTTCAAAGGGAATGCTTCCAGTTTTTGCCCATTCAGTATGATATTGGCTGTCGGTTTGTCATAAATAGCTCTTATTATTTTGAGATACGTCCCATCAATACCTAATTTATTGAGAGTTTTTAGCATGAAGGTGGTTGAATTTTGTCAGAGGCCTTTTCTGCATCTATTAAGATAATCATATGGTTTTTCTCTTTGGTTCTGTTTATGTGATGAATTACCTTTATGGATTTGTGTAGGTTGTACCAGCCTTGTATCCCAGGGATGAAGCCAACTTTGAAGCTTTTTGATGTGCTGCTGGATTCGGTTTGCCAGTATTTTATTGAGGAGGTTTGCATCGATGTTCATCAGGGATATTGGCCTAAAATTCTCTTTTCTTGTTGTGTCTCTTCCAGGCTTTGGTATCGGGATGATGCTGGCCTCATAAAATGAATTCGGGAGGATTCCCTCTTTTTCTATTGATGGGAATAGTTTCAGAAGGAATGGTACCAGCTCCTCTTTGTATCTCTGGCAGAATTCAGCTGTGAATCCGTCTGGTCCTGGACTTTTTTTGGTTGGTAGGCTATTAATTATTGCCTCTATTTCAGAGCCTGTTATTGGTCTATTGAGGAATTCAACTTCTTCCTTGTTTAGTCTTTGGAGGGTGTATGTGTCCAGGAATTTATCCATTTCTTCTAGATTTTCTAGTTTATTTGTGTAGAGATGTTTATGGTATTCTCTGATGGCAGTTTGTATCTCTGTGGGATAGGTGGTGATATCCCCTTTATCATTTTTTATTGTGTCTATTTGATTCTTCTCTCTTTTCTTCTTTATTAGTCTTGCTAGCTGTGTATCAAGTTTGTTGATCTTTTCAAAAAACCAGCTCCTGGATTCATTGATTTTTTGAAGAGTTTTTTGTGTCTCTGTCTCCTTCAGTTCTGCTCTGATCTTAGTTATTTCTTGACTTCTGCTAGCTCTTGAATTTGTTTGCTCTTCCTTCTCTAGTTCTTTTAATTGTGATGTTAGGACATCAATTTTAGATCTTCCCTGCTTTCTCTTGTGGGCATTTAGTGCTATAAATTTCCCTCTACACACTGCTTTAAATGTGTCCCAGAGATTCTGGTATGTTATCTCTTTGTTCTCATTGGTTTCAAAGAAGATCTTTATTTCTGCCTTCATTTTGTTATGTACCCAGTAGTCATTCAGGAGCAAGTTGTTCAGTTTCCATGTAGTTGAGCAGTTTTGAGTGAGTTTCTTAATACTGAGTTCTAGTTTGATTGCATTGTGGTCTGAGAGACAGTTTCTTATAATTTCTATTCTTTTACATTTGCTGAGGAGTGCTTTAATTCCAACTATGTGGTCAATTTGGAGTAAGTGTGATGTGGTGCTGAGAAGAATGTATATTCTGTTGATTTGGGGTGGAGAGTTCTGTAGATGTCTATTAGGTCCGCTTGGTGCAGAGCTGAGTTCAATTCCTGGATATCCTTGTTAACTTTCTGTCTTGTGGATCTGTCTAATGTTGACAGTGGGGTGTTAAAGTCTCCCATGATATTTGTGTGGGAGTCTAAGCCTCTTTGTAGGTCTCTAAGGACTTGCTTTATGAATCTGGGTGCTCCTGTATTGGGTACATATATATTTAGGATAGTTAGCTCTTCTTGTTGAATTGATCCCTTTACCATTATGTAATGGCCTTCGTCTCTTCTGATCTTTGTTGGTTTAATGTCTGTTTTATCAGAGACTAGGATTGCAACCCCTGCCTTTTTTTGTTTTCCATTGGCTTGGTAAATCTTCCTCCATCCTTTTATTTTGAGCCTATGTATGTCCCTGCACGTGAGATGGGTTTCCTCAATACAGCACACTGATGGGTCTTGACTCTTTATCCAATTTGCCAGTCTATGTCTTTTAATTGGAGCATTTAGCCCATTTACATTTAAGGTTAATATTGTTTTGTGTGAATTTGATCATGTCATTATGATGTTAGCTGGTTATTTTGCTCGTTAGTTGATGCAGTTTCTTCCTACCATTGATGGTCTTTACAATTTGGCATGTTTTTGCAGTGGCTGGTACCAGTTGTTCCTTTCCATGTTTAGTGCTTCCTTCAGGAGTTCTTGTAAGGCAAGCCTGGTGGTGAGAAAATCTCTCAGCATTTGCTTGTCTATAAAGGATTTTATTTCTCCTTCACTTATGAAGCTTAGTTTGGCTGCATATGAAATTCTGGGTTGAAAATTCTTTTCTCTAAGAATGTTGAATATTAGCCCCCACTCTCTTCTGGCTTGTAAGAGTTTCTGCCAAGAGATCTGCTGTTAGTCTGATGGGCTTCCCTTTATGGGTAACCTGAACTTTCTCTCTGGCTGCCCTTAACATTTTTTCCTTCATTTCAACTTTGGTGAATCTGACAATTATGTGTCTTGGAGTTGCTCTTCTCGAGGCGTATCTTTGTGGTGTTCTCTGTATTTCCTGAATTTGAATGTTGGCCTGCCTTGCTAGATTGGGGAAGTTCTCCTGGATAATATCCTACGGAGTGTTTTCCAACTTGGTTCCATTCTCCCCATCACTTTCACGTACACCAATCAGACGTAGATTTGGTCTTTTCACATAGTCCCGTATTTCTTGGAGGCTTTATTCATTTCTTTTTACTCTTTTTTCTCTAAACTTCTCTTCTCACTTCATTTCATTCATTTGATCTTCAATCACTGATACCCTTTCTTCCACTTGATCAAATCCCCTACTGAAGCTTGTGCATGCATCACGTAGTTCTCTGCCATGGTTTTCAGCTCCATCAGGTCATTTAAGGTCTTCTCTGTGCTGGTTATTCTAGTTAGCCATTTATCTAATCTTTTTTCAAGGTTTTTAGCTTCTTTGTGATGGGTTCAAACATCCTCCTTTAGCTCTGAGAAGTTTGTTATTACCGATTGTCTGAAGCCTTCTTCTCTCAACTCGTCAAAGTCATTCTCCGTCCAGCTTTGTTCCGTTGCTGGCAAGGAGCTGCATTCCTTTGGAGGAAAAGAGGCACTCTGATTTTTAGAATTTTCAGCTTTTCTGCTCTGGTTTCTCCCCATCTTTGTGTTTTTATCTACTTTTGGTCTTTGATGATGGTGACATACAGATGTGGTTTTGGTGCGGATGCCCTTTCTGTTTGTTAGTCTTCCTTCTAACAGTCAGGACCCTCAGCTGCAGGTCTGTTGGAGTTTGCTGGAGGTCCACTCCAGACCCTGTTTTCCTGGGTGTCACCAGCGGAGGCTGCAGAACCGCAAATACTACAGAACAGCAAACGTAGCTGCCTGATCGTTCCTCTGGAAGCTTCGTCTCAGAGGGGCATCCGGCCGTATGAGGTGTCAGTTGGCCCCTACTGGGAGGTGCCTCCCAGTTAGGCTACTCGGGGACAGGGACCCACTTGAGGAGGCACTCTGTCTGTTCTCAGATCTCAAACTCCGTCCTGGGAGATCCACTACTCTCTTCAAAGCTGTCAGACAGGGACGTTTAAGTCTGCAGAAGTTTCTGCTGCCTTTTGTTCAGCTATGCCCTGCCCCCAGAGGTGGAGTTTACAGAGGCAGGCAGGCCTCCTTGAGCTGTGGTGGGCTCCACCCAGTTCAAGCTTCCCGCCAGCTTTGTTTACCCACTCAAGTCTCAGCAATGGCAGGCGCCCCTCCCCCAGCCTTGCTGCTGCCTTGCAGTTCCATATCAGACTGCTGTGCTAGCAATGAGTGAGGCTCCGTGGGTGTGGGACCCTCCAAGCCAGGCACGTGATATAATCTCCTGGTGTGCCGTTTGCTAAGACCATTGGAAAAGTGCAGTATTAGGGTGGGAGTGACCCGATTTTCCAGGTCCCATCTGTCAGGGCTTCTCTTGGCTAGGAAAGGGAATTCCCTGATCCCTTGCACTTTGCCTCACCCTGCTTCAGCTCACAGTCCGTGGGCTGCACCCACTGTCCTGCACCCACTGTCCAACAAGCCCCCGTGAGATGAACCCGGTACATCAGCTGGAAATGCAGAAATCACCCGTCTTCTGCATCACTCACACTGGGAGCTGTATACTGGAGCTGTTCCTATTTGACCATCTTGGAACCTCCGAAAAAAGTTTTCATTGTTTGCTTTTCAAAGTGCTTTCTTTCACATTGTTTTATTATCACAACTCAGTGATGTAAGTAATATAAGCATTTGTATCCCTATTGTATAAATGAAGAAACTAGGGCTGAGATTAAGAAACTTGCTCAGGGTGATTGCTTCACAGGCTTAGCCTACAACCTAGGTATCAATTCTTCATTAAGAAAAATATATGTATTCACCCTCCCCTTCCTTTCTTCTTTCTTTTCTTCAATAACCACATGTTAAGCACTGACCAGTGTCAGATTCTGAATGCTGAAACACAAAGCTTTTATTGTGATTTCTAAGACAGAAAAGGTTCTCTTAAGGGGCACACAGACCTATAATTTAGTAGGAGAAAAGGGAGACTGAAGAGAAAATAGCACCATGACTTGATTAAGGACTCTAATGAAGATAATCACAGAATGCTGTGAGAGCAATCAACTCTGCTATTACTCTGCTCCCAATTAGGGTCTCTGAGCTATTAGCAGTAGGCCTGACATGGAGTATTTGTACAAAAATGTATTCTTCAACAAAACAAATATTTTTGGGCACCTACACTATAATTTAAGGCCTCTGTCTTCTAAAAAAGCTTCCATGAATAATCTCTAAAAAGACAAAGCCTATAAAAACATCAGTTAGGAACAAAATATACATTAGAATGTAAAAATGGAAAATATTTATTGTAGAGACAATGTAATATTTTAAAAATATAGCTGAGGTCAAATGAGCTGAATGCTAGCCCCAATTCCATTACTTAAAACTGTGTGACTGGGTGCGGTGGCTCACACCTGTAATCCCAGCACTTTGGGAGGCCGAGGTGGGTGGATCACGAGATCAGGAGATTGAGACCATCCTGGCTAACATGGGGAAACCCCATCTCTACTAAAAATACATAGTGGCAGGTGCCTGTAGTCCAAGCTACTCGGGAGGCTGAGGCAGGAGAATGGCGTGAACCCGGGAGGCGGAGGTTGCAGTGAGCCGAGGTTGCAGTGAGCCGAGATCGCACCACTGCACTCCAGCCTGGGCGACAGAGTGAGACTCAGTCTAAAAAAAAAAAAAAAAACTGGATAACTGCGGACCAATTATTTAATTTCCTGGGCCTCAATTTCCTCACCTATAAAATGAGGATTAGAAAAATATACTGAGTCTTCATTACTATTTTCCTAGATTCTATCTGTATCATTTTGGCTTACTGCTCTAACAGAATTAGGTAAGGTATCTCAGATTTTTGTAATATCTCAGATTATCTTTCATCTATAGCTGTCAGCTTTACTACTGGAGAGATGAACAAAATGTACTTAGAGAAGATAAAAAGAGAAAAAGTTTTCTCATGAATAATACTAGGACATCTTCAGCAAGTATGAGATGAATAATTTCAGATAATGAGAACAATCAAAACTTCTCAGTTTTGTAACCATTCTTGTTTTACTTAAAGTACAGATAAGAAAAGATAAAATAATATTAAGTATCTCATTTACTATTGTGATGATTAACTTCATCAACTTGGCTAAGCTATAAGTACACAGTTCTTCAAACACCAGTCTAAATGTTGCTGTGAAGGTATTTGTTTAATAGAATACTCCGTTTATTTATTTATTTATTTATTTGAGACAAGGTCTCACTCTGTCACCCAGGCTGGAGTGCAGTGGTGCGATTTGGTCACTGCAGCCTCAGCTTCCTGGGATTAAGCAATCGTCCCACCTCAGCTTCCTGAGTAGCTTGGACTACAGGCACATCTCATGATGCTCGGCAAAATTAGTTAATTTTTGTAGTGACAAGGTCTTGCTATGTTGTCCGAGCTGCTCTCAAACTCCCGGGCTTAAGTGATCCACCTGCCTTAAGAAAAAAAGATTAATCTCCACAATGTACATGGGCCTCATCCAATCAGTTGGAAACCTTATGAGCAAAAACTGAGGTTCCCTGACATAAAAGGAATTCTGCACAAAACTACCACATGAAAACCCTGCCTGAATTTCCAGCCGGCAAGCCTGCCCTGCAAATTTCAGAGTCATCAGACCCCCACCTTAACATTGTCATAAATCCTTCGGTTTTGGTTGTTCACAAAATATGATTCCTTATTTGGAATATTTGGGGGGAATATTCTAGGGGGAAAAGACATACCAAATAAGTATGCTGTGCTCAGTCATTCCAGCTGAAATTCATGAGGCTTCTTGAACATACTGTTTCTGGTCGCTTGAACCCAGGGGGCAGAGGTTGCAGTGAGCCGAGACTGCACCACTGCACTCCAGCCTAGGCAACAGAGCGAGACTCTGTCTCAAAAAAAAAAAAAAATACTGTTTCTGGATCTCCATATACATAGCATCCTTACACTGGACTTTCCTAAGAAAATTTAGGAAAAATTTTAGAGTTGTTGAGTTCATTTGATAGAAACAGATTTTAATCCAAATAATAATAGAAATAATAATGGTGGTGGTGGTAGTAGTGGTGGCAGTAGTAATGGTAGTAGTAGTTACTGTAATATTGATTTGCACAACTGAAAGGAGTACAAGTAGACCTGGCTTCAAACATGAATGACCTCCAACAATGTCATCAGGACTCCTTCACCATCCTTGACTTTGATTTCTCCAGACCTTAGAAAGGTCTCTAATGTGGTATCCCAGGCAATTCCAGCATTGTCTTATCCTACATCTAACACTCCCAGTGAAAAAAGAGAGCTTCTAATTTTCAATAATTCCAACCAAACCAAACTCCCAGAAATCTCTCTAACTGATTTGGTCTTGTCATGTATTCATCTCTAAATAAGTCACTAGTGATGGGATAAAACATGCTGATCGGGCAGGACTGTCATTTTCTACATTGGAATGAAGGAAGGAAAGGAATATCACTACAGACTTGACATAGGATGAGAGGTAGGAAAGAGAAAAAACGCCCACAGAATGCTGTAACAAGAAGATTAGAACCATTTTTTTTTTAAGAATAAGAGCTAAAAATAGAGAGTAATATCCTTTCTAGTGAGTATACTTGAGCCTGGACATCTGGATCACAGAGCCTCCTAAATTGCCCATAAAATTCCTGCTCTCTAGAATACCCATCATGCATAATCTTGAAATGTCACCAGAACCTGTGAATACAAGATTTTATACCCAGGATTACACTGCATTATGTGACAAAAGAGATTTTTGCAGATATAATGAAATCCCCTAGTCAGGTGATGTTAAGTTAATCAAAGGGGAGATTACTCTGGGTGGGACTGACCTAATTAGGTGAGCCCTTTGAAAGATACTGGAAGCATCAGTGAGCTCTTCTGCTGTCCTGGAAGAAAATAAATAGTTACATCATGAATTGCCTTTGGATGGGGCCATGTGATTAGGACATGAGGATGGCCCCGAACAGCTAATAGCAACTCCCAGTCAGTCAGCAAGAAAATTAGGACCTCAGTCTTATTACAACCACAAGAAACTGAATTCTGTTCATAACCTAAATGAGCTTGTAAGAGCACCCCCAAGCTACAAATGAGAACATAGTACTGGTTGACACCTTACTTCCAGCCTTATGAGACCTGGAGCAGAGAATTCAGTGATGCCACACTGGGATTTGTGATCTACAGAAACCAGGAGATAACTCGGTGGGTTTTAACTTTGTGGTCATTTGTTACACAGCAATAGAAAATTAATACAAAATCACTTCTTAAATTCCTTTGGGAGAGAGGCAGAGCAAAATGGAGGAGTAGAAGGCTCCACTGATTTTCCCCCTGACAAGGACAAGTTAACAACTATCTAAAGCGGGGCACGGTGGCTTATGCCTGTAATCCCAGCACTTTAGGAGGCTGAGGTGGGTGGATCACCTGAGGTTAGGAGTTCGAGACCAGCCCGGCCAATATGGTGAAACCCCATCTCTACTAAAAATACAAAAAGTTAGCTGGGCACCATGGGGCGCTGAGACAGGGAATGACTTGAATCTGGGAGGCAGAGGTTGCAGTGAGTCAACATTGTGCCCCCACACTCCAGCCTGGGCTACAATAGAGCAAAACTACATCTAAAAAAACAAAAAAACTTTAGCCGGGCACAGTGGCTCACACCTGCAATCCCAGCACTTTGGGAGGCTGAGGCGGGAGGATCACGAGGTCAGGAGATCGAGACCATCCTGGCTAACATAGTGAAACCCCATCTCTACTAAAAATACAAAAAAATTAGCCGGGAGTGGTGGCAGGTGCCTGTAGTCCCAGCTACTTGGGAGGCTGAGGCAGGAGAATGGCTTGAACCCGGGAGGCGGAGCTTGCAGTGAGCCGAGATGGCGCCACTGCGCTCCAGCCTGGGCAACAGAGTGAGACTCCATCTCAAAAAAAAAAAAAAAAAAAAAAAACTTTATAAGAATCAAAAAATAGGTGAGCCTTCATAGTACCTGGTTTTACTTCATATTCCTCAAAGGGGCACCAAAGAGATAGAAAAACGGCCCTGAATTCCTTATGCCACCCCTTCCTCACCTCTGGCAGCTGCAGTGTGGTGTGTCATCACCCCTCCCCTAACCCCAGGCTGCACAGCTTACAGCTCCAAACTAGACCCCTTCCTTCCACTTGAGAGGAGAAGGAAAAGCAGGGAGGACTTTGTCTTACATCTTGGATACCAGCTCAGCCACAGCAGGATAAAGCACTGGTCAGAGTCGTGAGGCCCACTTCCAGGCCCTCCCTCCCAGATAATATTTCTAGACATACCCTGGGCCAGAAGAGAATCCTCTGCCTTGAAGGAAAGGACCCAATCCTGGCAGCATTCATTGGCTGCTAACTGAAGAGCCCTTGGGCCCTAAATGATCAGCAGTGATACCCAGGTACTATGTCAAGGGCCTTGGGTAAATCTCTGAGACTTACGGGCTTCAGGTGAGACTCAGCACATTACTAACTGTGGTGGCTATGGGATGAAACTCCTTTGCTTGAGAAAAGCAGAAGGAAAAGCAAATGGGCCTTTTTCTTGCACCTTAGGTACCAGCTCAGACATAGGGTGGTAGAGCACCAAGCGGGCTCTTAGGGTCCCTGATTCCAAGACTTGATTCTCGGATGGCATTTCTGGACTTTCCCTGGGCCAAAGGGAAGAGCACTGCCCTGAAGGGTGAGTCCCAGGCCAGGCAGCATACACCACAAGCTGACTTAAGAGCCCTTGGGCCTTCAGTAAACATCATCGGTAGTCTGGCAGCACACCCTGTGGCCTGTGGTGGTGGTGGCTATGGGGTGAGGCTCCTCTGCCTTTGGAAAGGGGAAGGAAGAGTGGGAAGTACTGTGTCTTGTGGTTTGAGTGTCAGCTCAGCCACAGTACAGTGGAACACCGGGTAGACATCTAAGGTTTTTGGCTCTAGTCCCTGACTCCTGGACAGTACCTCTGGACCCACCAGGGAAATGGGGGAACTTGCCATCCTGAAAGGAAAGACAGAGGCCTGGATGGATTTGCCACCTGCTGATTGTAGAGCCCCAGGGCCTTGAGAGAATATAGGCAAGTATCCAGCAGTGGTTACAGCAGGACTTGGGCAAGACCCAATGCTGTGATGGCTTCAGGTCTGACCCAGTACAGTCATAGTGGTGGTGGCCACAGGGATACTCGTGTCACTCATCCCCAGCTCTAGCTGGCTCAGAACATAGAGAGGGAGAGACTCTGTTTGTTTGGGAGGAAGTAAGGGAAGAGAATAAATATTTCTGCCTGGTAATCCAGAGAATTCTCCCAGATCTTGTGCAAGACCATCAAGGAGGTACCTCTACGAGTCTGCAAGAACAACAGCATTACTAGGCTTGGGGTGCCCCCTACAGCACATACAGCATAGATCACAACACCTACATCCTTTCAAATATCTAGAGAGCCTTCCCAAGAAGGACAGCTACAAATAAGCCCAGACAGTGAAAACTACAGTAAATACCTAGCTTTCCAATGCCCAGACACCAAAGAACATCTACTAGCACCAACACCACCCAGGAAAATATAACTTCACCAAATGAACTAAACAAGGCATCAGGGACCACTCCTGGAGAAACAGAGATATACGACCTTTCAGACAGAAAATTCAAAATAGCTGTGCTGAGGAAACTCAAAGAAATTCAAGATAACAAAGAGAAAAAATTCAGAATACTATCAGATGTATTAAACAAAGAGATTCAAATAATTAAAAAGAATCAAGCAGAAATTCTAGAGCTGAAAAATGCAGTTGACATACTGAAGAATGCAAAAGAAAGAATTAGTGAGCTTGAAGACAGGCTATTTAAAAATACACAGAGGAGACAAAAGAAAAATAATAAAATAACAATAAACCATGCCTACAGGGTTTGGAAAGTAACCTCAAAAGCACAAATTTGAGAATTATTGACCTTAAAGAGGAGGTAGAGCAACAGATAGGAGTAGAAAGTCTATTCAAAGGGATAATAATAAATTATGAGGGTGTTTCATTTTCATGAAAGAAGACAAAATATATAAAGGTACACATAGTGTGTATTAATAATAATGATTTTAGTGTTAGAAACACAGAGGTTTTTTGAGTATTTTTAGTTGTTTACAGTGACAAACATGATACATAATTTTGAGATTTGGAATGTATTCCTCCTTAAATCCCTGCTATATACCCTGAAGCTGAGTTTTAGGCATATTTTTTGGCAACATAATCCCACTCTTCATTTCGCTTGCTGAGCTAAAGAGAGAAAAACAATGTTAGTTGTTTACATTATAAGTAGTTTTCTTCATCACAAAGACAATCTCTATTTCTTAAAATCTATTAAGTCCTTTTAAAGCTCTACCTTCTGTGCTCTGAGTCAATAGATGTCTCCTGAAATTTTTTTTTTTTTTTGAGATGGAGTCTTGCTCTGTTGCCCAGGCTGGAGTGCAATGGTGAAATCCGGCTCACTGCAATCTCTGCCTTCCGGGTTCAAGCGATTCTCCTGCCTCAGCCTCCCAAGTAGCTGAGATTACAGGCAATGGCCACAACGCCCAGCTAATTTTTGTATTTTTAGTAGAGACAGGGTTTCACCATGTTGGTCAGGCTGGTCTCGAACTCCTGAACTCAGGTGATCCACCCGCCTCAGCCTCCCAAAGTGCTGGGATTACAAGTGTGAGCTACCACGCCCGGCCCCTGAATCTTTAACGCCCCAAAGAAATGCAGAAGATGCAAAAAATGTTTCAAAGAGAGGTCTTTTACTGCTGAATTAATGTACAGGGATTCTTCAAAACACACCCCCACCCCCATAAAAAAAATGCAGTATGGAAAAATCAGGAGCCAAAACATGTGGCTTTCGTCCTCCCTGAATCCTCCACTACCTAGTCATGTGACCTTGGGGAAAATCACACACAGCTATCTGAGTCTCAATCTTTTCTTCTCTACAAAAGATTAAATAAACCCTAATGAATCAGTGAAAGGATTCTATGAAAATGATGTATGTTAAAGTGTGCTATAGAGTCTAAAGTGCTAACCAAAATTAAAACATAGAATAACATATTTGTTAAGAGAAATTTTCTGTTTTTTCCTCCAAAAAACAATACATTTTATACACCAGCAAACTCAAAATAAAAACCTTTTAGGGATGATGAGGCATTGTACACAAATGATCCTTGGCTTGCATTATAAAGTGTGTTCTATTGGAATGTCGATACTGGAAAAGAAATTACATTGATCAGCCTCTTAAAACCTAACCTCATATATTATAGTGTTTGCATACTTTGTAAAATTTATATATACAAACACATTTAAATTGTTTAGCAATCTAACACAATTATTCAGTTAATTTTATAGACCTAAGACTCTTGAATTACTAGTGCAATTAAGGTTATTTATGTAAGAATAAATCTTGGTACAGGAGGATTTTTTTTCCTTCATTTTTTAAATGTTTTTGACCAGAACATAATAAGAATGCAAAATTATTTATTCTCCAGCAAGATATAAATAGTGGGGACAGTGAGTCTGGGATGATTTCAGGCAAAGTAGTGATTCAAACTTCTCACTGCTCTTTGGATACAAAAATGTAGTGAGAAGAACTCAACTACCTTTCTTCATTGCTCCATCCTCTGGGTAATATTTCTGAGGATGACTTGTTGCTATTTTTTCATTGTATTTTTCTGGAAAGTCTTTTTGTAGCATTTGTTTAAAATGATCCCCAAGTTACATCATACACACTATTTTGTTACTCAAAAAAAAAAAAAGAGGGATTCCTCTATAAATCCATCTTAGACAGGGACTTCAGGGATAGCTCTGAAAATTGTGGTTGTTTGACCCCCTCATACTGCCATTCAAAAATCCAGAAAAATATTTCCTCAAAGTCTTTCTTTGATCCTTTCTTTGTTTTTCCATTTTCTGGGTAAAAGCCATTCCTCCACTACTAGGGACTCCACCTCATTAACTGTGAGTCCCTCCGTGATATTTTTGTTCAATAATACAAAATACCCCAATTTCCAAGAGACCACTACAAGGGCTGAAACAAAAATTTGATCGCAATACCTGCCTTGCTCTTTTTAATAAAAGTCCTTACAACTAGAAAGTTCTTTAAACTAGAACTATTTCATCAATTTAGAACATAGTGCATCCAGCTCTCCAAAAATAGATACTAAAGTAAGAAGTAAATCCAGCCAGTAATGCCTTCTCCCCCAAAAACAGACTTGAGGAAAATATAGCACAGATATTTAAACTTATAGAATTACCAAGGTTTAACTCATGGAGTCTCTGCAGTATTCTGAAAGTCTTGGTGGTGCCATATGGCTGTCCTGATTAATAAGAAGATACAGAAAACCAATGTGTCAAATGTAGGGCTATTTAACATTATTTAAGTTAGCTACTGAAAACGTGCTATATCATCCCAAGACAGATTTGCAGTGGAGAAACTGTGGGGGTCAGGACTCAAAGGCAGGTCTTCCGCATTTTATTAAACTGAATTACTAGTTCATTCCAAAATGGCCAAATAGGAACAGCTCCAGTCTGCAGCTCCCAGCGTGATAGAGAAGAAGGGTGTTTTCTGCATTTCCAACTGAGGTACCTCGTTCATCTCATTGGGACTGTGGGTGCAGCCCACGGAGGGTGAGCCAAAGCAAGGCAAGGCATCGTCTCACCCGGGAAGCGCAAGGGGTTTGGGGGATTTCCTTTTCCTACCTAAGGCAAGCCTTGACAGACTGCACCGGGAAAATCAGGACAGTGCCACCTAAACACTACACTTTTCCAAAGGTCTTGTCATACAGTACACCAGGAGATTATATACCATGCCTGGCTCAGTAGGTCCCACACCCATGGTGACTTGATCTTTGCTAGTCCCAGATCGAACTTCGAGGCGGCAAGCCTGGCTGGGGGAGGGTGTCCGCCATTGCTGAGGCTTGAGTAGGTAAACAAAGCGGCCAGGAAGCTTGAACTGGGTGAAGCTCACGGCAGCTCAACTAGGCCCGCCTGCCTCTGTAGACTCCACCTCCGGGGGCAGGGCAAAGCTGAAAAAAAGGCAGCAGAAACTTCTAAAACTTAAACATCCCTGTCTGACAGCTCTGAAGAGAGCAGTGGTTCTCCCAGCACAGTGAGCTCCGAGAACGGACAAACTGCCTCCTCAAGTGGGTCCCTGACCTCCATGTAGCCTAAATGGAAGTAGTAGTAACTCCCAGTAAGGGCAACTGACACCTAATACAGCCAGGGGCCCCTCTGAGAGGAAGCTTCCAGAGGAAGGATCAGGCAGCATTTGCTGTTCTGCAATATTTGCTGTTCTGCAGCCTCTGCTGGTGATACCCAGGAAAACAGGGTCTGGAGTGGACCTCCAGCAAACTCCAACAGACCTGCAGCTGAGGGACCTGACTGTTAGAAGGAAAACTAACAAACAGAAAGGAATAGCATCAACATCAACAAACAGGACATCCATACCAAAACCCCATCTGTAGGTCACCAACATCAAAGACCAAAGGTAAATAAAACCACAAAGATGGGGAGAAACCAGAACAGAAAAGCTGAAAATTCTAAAAACCAGAGCACCCCTTCTCCTCCAAAGGATCACAGCTCCTCGCCAGAAATGGAAAAAAGCAGGACAGAGAATGACTTTGACGAGTTGACAGGAGTAGGCTTCAGAAAGTCGGTAATAACAAACTTCTCCAAACTAAAAGAGGATGTTTGAACCCATCGCAAGGAAGTTAAAAACCTTGAAAAAAGATTACATGAATGGCTACCTAGAATAAGCAGTGTAGAGAAGACCTTAAACGACCTGATGTAGCTGAAAACCACGGCACGAGAACTATGTGACACATGCACAACCTTCAGTAGCCGATTTGATCAAGTGGAAGAAAGTGTATCAGCGATTGAAGATCAAATGAATGAAATGAAGTGAGAAGAGAAGTTGGAAAAAAAAAGAGTAAAAAGAAATGAACAAAGCCTCCAAGAAATATGGGATTATGTGAAAACACCAAATCTATGTCTAATTGGTGTACCTGAAAGTGATGGGGAGAATGGAATCAAGCTGGAAACACTCTGCAGGATATTATCCAGGAGAACGTCCCCAACCTAGCAAGGCAGGCAAACACTCAAATTCAGGAAATACAGACAACATCACAAAGACATTCCTCGAGAAGAGAAACCCCAGGACATATAATTGTAAGATTCACCAAACTTGAAATGAAGGAAAAAATGCTAAGGGCAGCCAGAGAGAAAGGTCAGGTTACCCACAAAGGGAAGCCCATCAGAATAACAGCAGATCTCTCAGCAGAAACTCTACAAGCCAGAAGACAGTGGGGGCCAATATTCAATATTCTTTTTTAATTTTTTACACTTTAAGTTCTAGGGTACATGAGAACAACGTGCAGGTTTATTACATATGTATACATATGCCATGTTGGTGTGCTGCATCCATTAACTCGTCATTTCCATTAGGTATATCTCTTAATGCTATCCCTCCACCCTCCACCACCCCATGACAGGCCCCGATGTGTGATGTTCCCCGCCCTGTGTCCAAGTGTTCTCATTGTTCAATTCCCACCTATGAGTGAGAACATGCGGTGTTTGGTTTTTGGTCCTTGCAACAGTTCGCTCAGAATGATGGTTTCTAGCTTCATCCATGTCCCTACAAAGGACATGAACTCATCCTTTTTTATGGCTACATAGTATTCCATGGTGTATATGTGCCACATTTTCTTAATCCAGTCTATCATTGATGGACATTTAGGTTGATTCCAAGTCTCTGCTATTGTGAAGAGTGCTGCAGTAAACATATGTGTGCATATGTCTTTATAGCAGCATGATTTATAATCCTTTGGGTATATATCCAGCAATGGGATGGCTGGGTCAAATGGTATTTCTAGTTCTAAATCCTTGAGGAATCACCACACTGTCTTCCACAATGGTTGAACCAGGTTACAGTCCCACCAACAGTGTAAAAGTGTTCCTATTTCTCCACATCCTCTCCAGCATCTGTTGTTTCCTGACTTTTTAATGATCACCGTTCTAACTGGTGTGAGATGGTATCTCATTGTGGTTTTGATTTGCATTACTCTGATGGCCAGTGATGATGAGCATTTTTTCATGTGTCTGTTGGCTGCATAAATATCTTCTATTGAGAAGTCTCTCTTCATATTCTTTGCCCACTTTTTGATGAGGTTGTTTGTTATTTTCTTGTAAACTTGTTTGAGTTTTTGTAGATTCTGGATATTAGCCCTTGGTCAGATGAGTAGATTGCAAAAATTTTCTCCCATTCTTTAGGTTGCCTGTTTGTTCTGATGGTAGTTTCTTTTGCTGTGCAGAAGCTCTTTAGTTTAATTAGATCCCATTTGTCAATTATGGCTTTTGTTGACATTACTTTTGGTGTTTTAGACATGAAGTCCTTGCCCATGCCTATGTACTGAATGATATTGCCTAGGTTTCCTTCTAGGGTTTTTATGGTTTTAGGTCTAACATGTAAGTCTTTAATCCATCTTGAATTAATTTTTGTATAAGGTATAAGGAAGGGATCCAGTTTCAGCTTTCTACATAGGGCTAGCCAGTTTTCCCAGCACCATTTATTAAATAGGGAATCCTTTCCTCATTGCTTGTTTTTGTCAAGTTTGTCGAAGATCAGATGGTTGCAGATGTGTGGTATTATTTCTGAGGGCTCTGTTCTGTTCCATTGGTCTATATCTCTGTTTTGGTACCAGTACCATGCTGTTTTGGTTACTGTAGCCTTGTAGTATAGTTTGAAGTCAGGTAGCGTGATGCCTCCAGCTTTGTTCTTTTGGCTTAGGATTGACTTGGCGATGGGGGCTCTTTTCTGGTTCCATATGAACTTTAAAGTAGTTTTTTCCAATTCTGTGAAGAAAGTCATTGGTAGCTTGATGGGGATGGCATTGAATCTATAAATTACCTTGGGCAGTATGGTCATTTTCACGATATTGATTCTTCCTATCCCTGAGCATGGAATGTTCTTCCATTTGTTTCTGTCCTCTTTTATTTCATTGAGCAGTGGTTTGCAGTTCTCCTTGAGGAGGTCCTTCACATCTCTTGTAAGGTGGATTCCTAGGTATTTTATTCTCTTTGAAGCAATTGTGAATGAAAGTTCACTCATGATTTGGTTCTCTGTTTGTCTGTTATTGGTGTATAAGAATGCTTGTGATTTCTGCACATTGATTTTGTATCCTGAGACTTTGCTGAAGTTGCTTATCAGCTTAAGGAGATTTTGGGCTGAGACGATGGGGTTTTCTAAATATACAGTCATGTCATCTGCAAACAGGGACAATTTGACCTCCTCTTTTCCTGGTTGAATACCCTTTGTTTCTTTCTCCTGCCTAACTGCCCTGGCCAGAACTTCCAACACTATGTTGAATAGGCGTGGTGAGAGAGGGCATTCCTGTCTTGTGTCAGTTTTCAAAGGGAATGCTTCCAGTTTTTGCCCATTCAAGTATGATATTGGCTGTGGGTTTCTCATAAATAGCTCTTATTATTTTGAGATACATTCCATCAATACCTAATTTATTGAGAGTTTTTAGCACAAAGGGCTGTTGAATTTTGTCAAAGACCTTTTCTGCATCTATTGAGATAATCATGTGGTTTTTGTCTTTGGTTCTGTTTGTATGCTGGATTACATTCATTGATTTGCGTATGTTGAACCAGCCTTGCATCCCAGGGATGAAGCCCACTTGATCTTGGTGGATAAGCTTTTTGATGTGCTGCTGGATTCGGTTTGGCAGTATATTGTTGAGGATTTTTGCATCGATGTTCATCAGGAATATGGGTCTAAAATTCTCTTTTTTTGGTGTGTCTCTGCCACACTTTGGTATCAGAATGATGCTGGCCTCAAAAAATGAGTTAGGAAGGATTCCCTCTTTTTCTATTGATGGGAATAGTTTCAGAAGGAATGGTACCAGCTCCTCCTTGTACCTCTGGTAGAATTTGGCTGTGAATCCATCTGGTCCTGGACTCTTTTTGGTTGGTAGGCTATTAATTATTGCCTCAATTTCAGAGCCTGTTATCGGTCTATTAAGGGATTCAACTTCTTCCTGGTTTAGTCTTGGAAGAGTGTATGTGTCAAGGAATTTATCCATTTCTTCTAGATTTTCTAGTTTATTCGCATAGAGGTGTTTATAGAATTCTCTGATGGTAGTCTGTATTTCTGTGGGATCAGTGGTGATATCCCCTTTATTTTTTATTGCATATATTTGATTCTTCTCTCTTTTCTTCTTCATTAGACTTGCTAGTGGTCTATTAATTTTTTTTATCTTTTCAAAAAACCAGCTTCTGGATTCATTGATTTTTTTGAAGGGTTTTTTGTGTCTCTATCTCCTTCAGTTCTGCTCTGATCTTATTTATTGCCTTCTGCTAGCTTTTGAATATGTTCGCTCTTGTTTCTCTATTTCTTTTAATTGTGATATTGGGGTGTCAATTTTAGATCTTTCCTACTTTCTCTAGTGGTCATTTAGTGCTATCAATTTCCCTCTACACACTGCTTTAAATGTGTTCCAGAGATTCTGGTATGTTGTGCTTTGATCTCATTGGTTTCAAAGAACAGCTTTATTTCTGCCTTCATTTTGTTATATACCCAGTGCTCATTCAGGAGCAGGTTGTTCATTTTCCATGTATTTGAGCAGTTTTGAGTGAGTTTCTTAATCCTGAGTTCTAATTTGATTGTAATGGCCTTCTTTGTCTCTTTTGATCTTTGTTGGTTTAAAGTCTGTTTTATCAGAGGCTAGGATTGCAACCCCTGCCTTTTTTGTTTTCCATTTGCTTGGTAGATCTTCCTCCATCCCTTTATTTTGAGCCTATGTGTGTCTCTGCACGTAAGATGGGTCTCCTGAATACCGCACACTAATGGGTCTTGACTCTTTATCCAATTTGCCAGTCTGTGTCTTTTAATTGGAGCACTTAGCCCATTTACATTTAAGGTTAATATTGTTTTGTGTGAATTTGATTATGTCATTATGATGTTAGCTGGTTATTTTGCTCGTTAGTTGATACAGTGTCTTCCCACCATTGATGGACTTTACAATTTGGCATGTTTTTGCATTGGCTGGTACCAGTTGTTCCTTTCCATGTTTTGCACTTCCTTCAGGAGCTCTTGTAGGCCAGGCCTGGTGGTGAGAAAATCTCTCAGCATTTGCTTGTCTATAAAGGATTTTATTTCTCCTTCACTTATGAAGCTTAGTTTGGCTGGATAAGATATTCTGGTTTGAAAATTCTTTTCTTTAAGAATGTTGAATATTGGCCCCCACTCTATTCTGGCTTGTAGAGTTTCTGCCGAGAGAACCACTGTTAGTCTGATGGGCTTCCCTTTGTGGGTAACCTGACCTTTCTCTCTGGCTGCCCTTAACATTTTTTCTTTCATTTCAAGTTTGGTGAATCTTACAATTATGTGTCTTGGGGTTGCTGTTCTCAAGGAGTATCTTTGTGGCGTTCTCTGTATTTCCTGAATTTGAATGTTGGCCTGCCTTGCTAGGTTGGGGAAGTTCTCCTGGATAATATCCTGAAGAGTGTTTTCCAGCTGGTTCCATTCTCCACGTCATTTTCAGGTACACCAATCAAACGTAGATTTGGTCTTTTCACATAGTCCAATATTTCTTTGAGGCTTTGTTCATTTCTTTTTACTCTTTTTTCTCTAAACTTCTCTTCTCACTTCATTTCATTCATTTGATCTTCAATCACTGATACCCTTTTTTCCAGTTGATCGAATCGGCTATTGAGGCTTGTGCATTCATCACGTAGTTCTTGTTCCATGATTTTCAGCTCCATCAGGTCCTTTAAGGACTTCTCTACATTGGTTATTCTAGTTAGCCATTCGTCTCATCTTTTTTCAAGGTTTTTAGCTTCTTTGCAATGGGTTCGAACTTCCTCCTTTAGCTCAGAGAAGTTCGATCGTCTGAAGCCTTCTTGTCTCAACTCGTCAAAGTCATTCTCCGTCCAGCTTTGTTCCATTGCTGGCGAGGAGCTGCATTCCTTTGGAGGGGGAGAGGCACTCTGATTTTTAGAATTTTCAGCTTTTCTGCTCTGTTTTTTCCCCATCTTTGTGGTTTTATCTACCTTTGGTCTTTGATGATGGTGACGTACAGATGGGGTTTTGGTGTGGATGTACTTTCTGTTTGTTACTTTTCCTTCTAACAGTCAGGACCCTCAGCTACAGGTCTGTTGGAGTTTGCTGGAGGTCCACTCCAGACCCTGTTTGCCTGGGTATCAGCATCAGAGGATGCAGAACAGCGAATATTGCTGAACAGCAAATGTTGCTGCCTGATCGTTCCTCTGGAAGCTTCGTCTCAGAGGGGTACCCAGCCGTATGAGGTGTCAGTCTGCCCCTACTGGGGTGTGCCTCCCAGTTAGGCTACTTAGGGGTCAGGGACCCACTTGAGGAGGCAGTCTGTCCATTCTCAGATCTCAAACTCCATGCTGGGAGAACCACTACTCTCTTCAAAGCTGTCAGACAGGGACATTTAAGTCTGCAGAGGTTCTGCTGCCTTTTGTTTGGCTATGCCCTGCCCCCAGAGGTGGAGTCTACAGAGGCAGGCAGGCCTCCTTGAGCTGTGGTGGGCTCCACCCAGATCGAGCTTCCTGGCCGCTTTGTTTACCTACTCAAGCCTCAGTAATGGCAGGCGCACCTCCCCCAGCCTCGCTGCCACGTGGCAGTTCAATCTCAGACTGCTGTGCTAGCAATGAGCGAGGCTCCGTGAGCGTGGGATGCCCCGAGCCAGGTGTGGGATATACTAGTGTGCCATTTGCTAAGACCATTAGAAAAGCACACTATTAGGGTGGGAGTGACCCAATTTTCCGGGTGCCTTCTGTCACAGCTTCCCTTGGCTAGGAGAGGGAACTCCCTGACCCCTTGGGCTTCCCGCGTGATGCGATGCCTCACCCTGTTTTGGCTCACACTCGGTGGGCTGCACCCATTGTCCTGCACCCACTCTCTGACAAGCCCCAGTGAGATGAACCTGGTACCTCAGTTGGAAATGCAGAAATCACCCATCTTCCGCATTGCTCACACTGGGAGCTGTAGACTGGAGCTGTTCTTATTCGGCCATCTTGGAACCGCCCCCCCCCAACATTCTTAAAGGAAAGAATTTTCAACCCAGAATTTCATATCCAGCCAAACTAAGCTTCATAAGTGAAGGAGAAGTAAAATCCTTTACAGACAAGCAAATGCTGAGAGATTTTGTCACCACCAGGCCTGCCCTACAAGAGCTCCTGAAGGAAGCACAAAACATGGAAAGGAACAACCGGTACCAGCCACTGTAAAAACATGCCAAATTGTAAAGACCATCAATGCTAGGAAGAAACTGCATCAACTAACGAGCAAAATAACCAGCTAACGTCATAATGACAGGATCAAATTCACACAAAACAATATTAACCTTAAATGTAAATGGGCTAAATGCCCCAATTAAAAGACACAGACTGGCAAATTGGATAAAGAGTCAAGATCCATCAGTGTGCTGTATTCAGGAGACCCATCTCACATGCAGAGACACAGGTAGGTTCAAAATAAACAGATGCAGGAAGATCTACCAAGCAAATTGAAAGCAGGGGTTGCAATCGTAGTCTCATAAAACTGACTTTAAACCAACAAAGATCAAAAGAGACAAAGAAGGCCATTACATAATGAAAAAGGGATCACTTCAACAAGAAGAGCTAACTATCCTAAATATATATGCACCCAATACAGGAGCACCCAGATTCATAAAGCAAGTTCTGAGAGACCTAAAAAGAGACTTAGATTCCCACACAATAATAATGGGAGACTTTAACACCCCACTGTCCATATTAGACAGATCAATGAGACAGAAGGTTAACAAGGATATCCAGGACTTGAACTCAGCTCTGCACCAAGCAGGCCTAATAGACATCTGCAAGAATTCTCCACCCCAAATCAACAGAATATACATTCTTCTCAGCACATCACACTTATTCCAAAATTGACCACATAGTTGGAATTAAAGCACTCCTCAGCAAATGTAAAAGAACAGAAATCGTAACAAACTGTCTCTCAGACCACAGTGCAATCAAGTTAGAACTCAGGATTAAGAAACTCACTCAAAACCACACAACCACATGGAAACTGAACAACCTGCTCCTGAATGACTACTGGGTAAATAACGAAATGAAGGCAGAAATAAAGATGTTCTTTGAAACCAATGAGAACAAAGACACAACGTACCAGAATCTCTCGGACACATTTAAAGCAGTGTGTAGAGGGAAATTTATAGCACTAAATGCTCACAAGAGAAACCAGGAAAGATCTAAAATTGACACCCTAACATCACAATTAAAACAACTAGAGAAGCAAGAGCAAACATATTCAAAAGCAAATGGGATCTAATTAAACTAAAGAACTTCTGCACAGCAAAAAGAAACTACCATCAGAGTGAACAGGCAACCTACAGAATGGGAAAAAATGTTTGCAATCTATCCATCTGACAAAGGGCTACTATCCAGAATCTACAAAGAACTCAAACAAATTTACAAGAAAAAATCAAACAACCCCATCAAAAACTGGGCAAAGTATATGAACAGACACTTTTCAAAAGAAGACATTTATGCAGCCAAAAGACACACGAAAAAATGCTCATCATCACTGATCATCAGAGAAATGCAAATCAAAACCACAATGAGATACCATCTCACACCAGTTAGAATGGTGATCATTAAAAAGTCAGGAAACAACAGGTGCTGGAAAAGGATCTGGAGAAATAGGAACGCTTTTACCCTGTTGGTGGCAGTGGAAACTAGTTCAACCATTGTGGAAGACAGTGTGGCAATTCCTCAAGGATCTAGAACTAGAAATACCATTTGACCCAGCAATCCCATTATGGGGTATATACCCAAAGGATTATAAATCATGCTACTATAAAGACATATGCACACATATGTTTATTGCAGCATTATCCACAATAGCAAAGACTTGCAACCAACCCAAATGTCCATCAATGATAGACTGGGTTAAGAAAATGTGGCATATATACACCATGGAATACTATGCAGCCATAAAAAAGGATGAGTTCATGTCCTTTGTAGGGACATGGATGAAGCTGGAAACCATCATTCTGAGTAAACTATTGCAAGGACAGAAAACCAAACACTGCATGTTCTCACTCATAGGTGGGAATTGAACAATGTGAACACTTGGACACAGGGCAGGGAACATCACACATCAGGGCCTGTCGTGGGGTGGGGCTTGGGGGAGGGGTAGCATTAGGAGAAATACCTAATGTAAATGACGAGTTAATGGATGCAGCAAGCCAGCACAGCACATGTATACATATGTAACAAACCAGCACGTTGTGCACATGTACCCTAGAACTTAAATTATAATAATAAAAAAATCTAGTAAAAAAAAAAGAATAAATCTCCTAATAAAAACGGGCAAGGTAAGTATAAAATAATAATGTTATGATAATTGTCACATTGCTCTTTTTTGTATCCAGGTCACTCTATGCTTCTATTAATTCATCATTTTCAATTGTGTACACTAAACAAGATGCAATCAGCAAATACCCAATGTTATGCATCACTTAGAGATTGTTCCTTTCTGCCCTAGTCCATAAATAATATTCTCTTGACTCTGGGGCAGAGAAGACCCATTGGAATGATGTTCCAGAAACTAAAGTAGGAACTAAGGGACCAGCTTTAACAGCACTCCTTCCAGGAACTCCAGTAAAGCTAGGAGAGGACCTTGCAGGTTCCACAGCCTAATGAGGTCTCCAATCACTCACCCTGACAGAGATCTGCTACGTTATTCATTCATCAACTTGCTGGATGTATTACAAGTACTAAGTACTTTTAAGAAATATGCAACAGTATTTAGCCTATTACAGTATACAGGTGATGCCTAATAAACATTTCTTGACTTCCAAAAGCTTACAAGCATTAAAAAAGATACTGGAATTAGCTAAGTAAAAGTAAAAAGTAGGACATTGAGGCAGTTATATTATGCAGTATTGCATGATAGAGCATAGGCTTATACTGATAACAATATTTGTTATAAAACTATAGTAATTAAAATAGTGTATTACTTACACAAGACCAGCCAAATAGATCAGTGGTGCAGAATAGAGAACAATGTCACAAATAATAAAATCAAATGAATAAAAACAGCAAGAACATACCACTTTTACCAAATACATTAAGCGCTTGACAATGCCAACTGTTGGCAAAAATGGTGAGAAAAGGAAACCCTTACACACAGAAGTAGAACAAATTATAATAGCCTCTAGGAGAACAAGTTGGCAGTATTTGGAAAAACTGAAAATACTAAAACCATATGACCCAACAATTCAACTTCTCAGTATTTATCCTGTAGAAACTTTCACACAGTTCCTCACACTGAAACTCTGCACAAAGAGACATAAAAATATGCTCAATTCATCACTCTGATAACCACAAGGCATTAAGAAAATGTAATGATTGATCAAAGAATGGTGTTAAGACAAAGAGGACCATGGATTTATAAATTTTAAATAAAACTTGGTTATTTACTAAATATCTCATTGCAGGAAGGAAGGAGGGAAATATTTACTATCCAGAGACTGAGCAAACACTATATACCTCAGTTCCTTCGTGTATCAAAATCATAGACTTCCTTCAGTATATGAGCACTTCCTGAAAAAGACCTCCAAGAATTTACTTCAGTTTTCAGGGGAATTGAAGCCTTCTGACATTCACGTAGACCTCATGATACTCAGTACGGAGGGGAAAGTAGACTTCATCATTATATGTCAGCAATCATCAAATGGCTGTCAGAAAGATACGGTGGTAAGATGTGTTTAAAAAGGGATTGGAGTGCATTTTCAGTAAAACATAAGTACTTATCATTTTGATAAAATTTCTCTAATAACTAAGTTAATAATGATTTCATAAAGAAGATTTCTCAGTAGTGGACAAATAAAATATGATATATATTCAAAGTAGTTCCATGAATGAAATTGATATATATGTATCAGCAGGGAGGTAGATCTACAAAATGGATCTAAGTAAAATAAATGGCAGCAAAAAGATATGTGTAGTATAATACATACATTGTTTAAAAAATAAGGAGTTTAAGGTTTTAGGCTGCATAAAAATGTAGTAAAATGAACTAATAGAATATACACTAAATTCATCATAAAGGTTGAGGAGAGAAGAAAGAATTGCCTTTTGTTTATTAAAGAACAGCTGAATTATCTGCTGAGACGTAGTAGTAGAGGATATTTGCTGGATGGTGTAAGCAATCAGGCATTTAATGAGGGGTATCTTTATGGAAACAAAAACAAAGATTAATGCTTGGAGCAGACTATAAACCCAGTTTTTTAGTCCAGAAGACAGTGAGCTGAGATTTCTAGACACTGAGCTCTCAGTGTTTTTAGATGGTGGAGTGAGGACAGCAGGAGCCACCCGATGGAGTTCCCAGTTTACAGTCTGAATGTTTCACAGTTTAGCTATTTTCTGGAGCAGAGTTTGGAAGATGTGGGAGTTCCTGTGATATTTCTGAGTGCCCCATGGAGTCCAGCTCCTGGAACAAAGGTTGCTCATACATGGTTTGTTGTAGCAATGAGTTCTTTGAAGTTTATATCACTTTGCCTGGCTTCAGTGCAGAGGGCTTTTTCAGATCCTGGGGAAAGGGTAGATACAAGGCAAACTGAGTCCTTATATAATGATCTGGGCAGTCAAGTTTTAGTTCTCAGTGATGCCAAACCAGGAGGGAGGGAGAAAAATTGGAAACATCAATTTGGAGAGTTATAACTAGATATTGAAGGAAACTAGAAAAATTGAGAATTTGGTTAGGCCTGAAAAAAATGTGTAAAATCGCTGGATCAGTTCAATTTACAGGTAGATAATAAAACCTTAAAGGCAATAAGTAGAAGTATAATCTGATAACCATAAGGGCATGTTATATTATTTCATTAAAACATATTTTTTCTCTATAGTTAACCTTTTTGATTAAAGATAATCAAAGTAATATTATTATTGCTTATAAAATATTTTTCTCATTAAATTTGGCCTGATTATTTAGGTAAGTTCAACAAGAATAGTAACTGACCATATAGGCCTTTTTAGATATGCTTTATGACACTTTTTATTTTAAAAAATCTCAGGCTGGACATTTAAAATCCTCTTGAGGCTATGAAGCCAAGCCAGGAATTTATCATTAGTCTTCATCTGTAGCATCTACAGATTTGAGTGAATCGCAGTCTTTTTGAGTGGATATCCTAAGGTTCTTCGGCCTGCCAGTAGGTGAACCTTCTTACTCTACCTGTAAGGCTAGGAAACCTGTAAGCCAGGTACCAGCCTAGTTTTTTGTTTTTTGGGTTTTTTTTTTGTTTTTTTGAGAGTGCTTTGTTAAGTACTGATTTAATAAAGTTAACCATAGTTCCTTAAAACTGTGTGATGATGATATGGACAGGACGCAAGGAAATGCTGGGTAGAAGAGGGCATGATCCCTGGCGAGGGCTCCACCCTCAATCCTGGACCCACCACCCAAAGTAAGAACTAGTTCTGTTTTCCTGTGCAATGCTGCCTTTTGGCCAGCCCTACCACCACCTATCCTGTGCCCATAAGAGCCCCAAATCCAGACTCAGAGCATACATACACACAGAAGAGAGAAATATCTGGACATCGAGAGGAGAAGAAGCAGCTGGACGTTAGAGACTATGGTCAGAGAGGAGTTCGGCTGGGGACAACGGGACCCCAGGGGAAGATTATCTTCCCACTCCACCCCCTTTCAAGCTCCCCTTCCCTCTGGAGTCACTTCCACTGCTCAGTAAAGTCCTTCACATTCACCACCCTTCAATTCGTTCATGTGACCTGATTCTTCCCGAACCCTGGGCAAGAACTCAGGTACTAAGAGGGTAGGGTGTAAAACCTGTCAACCTGACCCTCCACTTAGCCGTCAACTGATGGCAACTACTAAAAGAGCACTGATTGTAACACACACCCTCTGGGGCTCCAGGGGTCACAGACAACCCTTCCTGGACAGCAGAGCTAAAAGAGCATTGTCACATGCTTGGACGTGGCTTCAGGACCCGCACAAAGCCTGTTCTCCCCGGAGAGGAGCAACCAGCCAGTCCCAGCGTTCATTTGCTCTGGTTCCTGCACCTGTCTGCCTGCATGCTCCCTCTCCTGCAAGGGGTTTGAGAGCTGTGGGAAAACACTCTGTCTCTTTCTCTCTTTCTCTCTCTCTCTCTCTCTCTCTCTGCCATGTGAGGATATAACAAGAAAATGATCATCTACAAACCAGAAAGAGTGCCCTAACCAGATACTGAGTCTGCCAGCACCTTTGTCTTGGTCTTCCCAGCAACCAAACCATGAGAAATAAATGTTTATATAGTGTAAAACATCCAGTCTATGGTAAATTTTTTTTTTTTGAGACAGTCTTGTTCTGTCACCCAGGCTGGAGTGCACCGGCGCAACCTCTGCCTGTTGTGTTCAAGCAATTCTCCTCCCTCAGCCTTCTGAGTAGCTGGGACTACAGGCACACACCACCAGGCCTGGCTAATTTTTTTTATTTTTAGTAGAGACAGGGTTTCTCCACATTAGCCAGGCTGGTCTCAACCTCAGGTGATCCACCTGCCTTGACCCCTCAAACTGCTGGGATTACAGGCATGAGCCGACAAACCCAGCCAAGTCTATGGTAATTTGTTGTAGCAGCCCAAACTGACTAAAACAGCAATTTTATGAGTTCATCAGATTTTTATTAGAGTTTTGGAAATCTTGATCATTGGTATGATCTCAAAATTACTTAGGCAAAGCCATCAGAAATCTGTATCTCAAAATACGTAACATAGTCCTTTTCCATGGGTTTCTGAGACAGTTTTCTTTAAAGTGTTCTGTAGCTGTAAGAGCTCTTAGGAAAGCATAAGAGTAAAATAACTATCTGTGGGTGACAAGACTTAAGATGGCTATAGTTAAAGATTTAGTGAAAGTTCATTATAAAAATACAATTGATGAGGAAATTTGGTTGTTATATTACATGACATTTTAAATAATAACTGAACTTTTAACCAATAACATTATAGAGGACATATCTTAAATAGGAAGACCATTGATGATTTCTAGGAACCTTATATTCCTTCTGAAATAATCTCTCTTCTTTGACAATGTTTCCCAGGGAATTTAGTGAAAAAAATAATAAATCTAACTAGTCTAGCATCTCTCTTTTAACAAGGTAAGAAAACAAATCCTTTGATGTTTTCCAGGGGCTGTCTAGGAAACGTCAAGTTCACTTCAAGGTCAAGAAAAGCCAAAATGTCAAAAGGTTTGAACATTCAATTAAATAAGATCATATGTAATTGTGAAAAAATACTTAGTTATCTATTTAACAATAATGGTCATAAAATACCTCAAATATAAATATAGGAGATAACATGTTTTCAATTAAAAAATTGAAGACATGATAAAAACAACACAGCACAGAAAACTATTTTGAAAAGACAGGGAGGAGCCAAGATGGCCGAATAGGAACAGCTCCGGTCTACAGCTCCCAGCGTGAACGACGCAGAAGACGGGTGATTTCTGTATTTCCATCTGAGGTACCGGGTTCATCTCACTAGGGAGTGCCAGACAAACAGTCTTCTGCGCTCACTAGTGGGCGCAGAACAGTGGGTGCAGCGCACCGTGTGCCAGCCGAAGCAGGGCGAGGCATTGCCTCACTGGGGGAAGTGCAAGGGATCAGGGAGTTCCCTTTCCAGGTCAAGGAAAAGGGTGACAGATGGCACCTGGAAAATCGGGCCATTCCGACCCGAATACTGCGCTTTTCCGACGGGCTTAGGAAATGGTGCACCAGGAGATTATATCCCGCACGTGGCTCGGAGGGTCCTATGCCCATGGAGTCTCGCTGATTGCTAGCACAGCAATCTGAGATCAAACTGCAAGGCGGCAGCGAGGCTGGGGGAGGGGCGCCCGCCATTGCCCAGGCTCGCTTAGGTAAACAAAGCAGCCGGGAAGCTCGAACCAGGTGGAGCCCACCACAGCTCAAGAAGGCCGGCCTGCCTCTGTAGGCTCCACCTCTGGGGGCAGGGCACAGACAAACAAAAAGACAGCAGTAACCTCTGCAGACTTAAATGTCCTTGTCTGACAGCTTTCAGGAGAGCAGTGGTTCTCCCAACACGCAGCTGGAGATCTGAGAACGGGCAGACTGCCTCCTCAAGTGAGTCCTTGACCCCTGACCCCTGAGAAGCCTAACTGGGAGGCACCCCCCAGTAGGGGCAGACTGATACCTCACACGGCCGGGTACTCCTCTGAGACAAAACCTCCAGAGGAACGATCAGACAGCAGCATTCGTGGATCACGAAAATCTGCGGTTCTGCAGACACCGCTGCTGATACCCAGGCAAACAGGGTCTGGAGTGGACTTCTAGCAAACTCCAACAGACCTGCAGCTGAGGGTCCTGTCTGTTAGAAGGAAAACTAACAAACAGAAAGGACATCCACACCAAAAACCCATCTGTACATCACCATAATCAAAGACCAAAAGGAGATAAAACCACAAAGATGGGGAAAAAACAGAACAGAAAAACTGGAAACTTGAAAAAGCAGAGAGCCTCTCCTCCTCCAAAGGAACGCCGTTCCTCACCAGCAACGGAACAAAGCTGGACGGAGAATGACTTTGACCAGTTGAGAGAAGAAGGCTTCAGACAATCAAACTACTCCGAGCTACAGGAGGGAATTCAAACCAAAGGCAAAGAACTTGAAAACTTTGAAAAAAATTTAGACGAATGTATAACTAGAATAACCAATACAGAGAAGTGCTTAAAGGAGCTGATGGAGCTGAAAGCTAAGGCTCGAGAACTACGTGAAGAAGGCAGAAGCCTCAAGAGCCGATGCGATCAACTGGAAGAAAGGGTATCAGTGATGGAAGATGAAATGAATGAAATGAAGCGAGAAGGGAAGTTTAGAGAAAAAAGAATAAAAAGAAATGACCAAAGCCTCCAAGAAATATGGGACTATGTGAAAAGACCAAATCTACATCTGATTCGTGTACCTGAACGTGACGGGGAGAATGGAACCAAGTTGGAAAACACTCTGCAGGATATTATCCAGGAGAACTTCCCCAATCTAGCAAGGCAGGCCAACATTAAGATTCAGGAAATACAGAGAACGCCACAAAGATACTCCTCGAGAAGAGCAACTCCAAGACACATAATTGTCAGATTCACCAAAGTTGAAATGAAGGAAAAAATGTTAAGGGCAGCCAGAGAGAAAGGTCGGGTTACCCACAAAGGGAAGTCCATCAGACTAAAAGCGGATCTCTCGGCAGAAACTCTACAAGCCAATAGAGAGTGGGGGCCAATATTCAACATTCTTAAAGAAAAGAATTTTCAACCCAGAATTTCAAATCCAGCCAAACTAAGCTTCATAAGCAAAGGAGAAATAAAATCCATTACAGACAAGCAAATGCTGAGAGGTTTTCTCACCACCAGGACTGCCTTACAAGAACTCCTGAAGGAAGCACTAAACATGGAAAGGAACAACTGGTACCAGCCACTGCAAAAACATGCCAAATTGTAAAGACCATCAATGGTAGGAAGAAACTGCATCAACTAACGAGCAAAATAACCACATAACATCATAATGACAGGATCAAATTCACACATAACAATATTAACTTTAAATGTAAATGGACTAAATGCTCCAATTAAAAGACACAGACTGGCAAATTGGATAAAGAGTCAAGACCCATTAGCGTGCTGTATTCAGGAAACCCATTAGCGTGCTGTATTCAGCGTGTGTCTCATATGCAGAGACACACATAGGCTCAAAATAAAAGGATGGAGGAAGATCTAGCAAGCAAATAGAAAACAAAAAAAGGCAGGGGTTGCAATCCTAGTCTCTGATAAAACAGACTTTAAACCAACAAAGATCAAAAGAGACGAAGGCCATTACATAATGGTAAAGAGATCAATTCAACAAGAACAGCTAACTATCCTAAATATATATGCACCCAATAAAGAAGCACCCAGATTCATAAAGCAAGTCCTGAGTGACCTAGAAAGAGACTTAGACTCCCACACAATAATAATAGGAGACTTTAACACCCCACTGTCAACATTAGACAGATCAACGAGACAGAAAGTTAACAAGGATACCCAGGAATCGAACTCAGCTCTGCACCAAGCGGACCTAATAGACATCTACAGAACTCTCCACCCCAAATCAACAGAATATACATTTTTTTCAGCACCACACCACACCCACTCCAAAACTGACCACATAGTTGGAAGTAAAGCTCTCCTCAGCAAATGTAAAAGAACAGAAATTATAACAAACTGTCTCTCAGACCACAGTGCAATCAAACTAGAACTCAGGATTAAGAAACTCACTCAAAACCGCTCAACTACATGGAAACTGAACAACCTGCTCCTGAATGACTACTGGGTACATAACGAAATGAAGGCAGAAATAAAGATGTTCTTTGAAACCAACGAGAACAAAGACACAACATACCAGAATCTCTGGGACACATTCAAAGCAGTGTGTAGAGGGAAATTTATAGCACTAAATGCCCACAAGAGAAAGCAGGAAAGATCTAAAATTGACACCCTAACATCACAATTAAAAGAACTAGAAAAGCAAGAGCAAACACATTCAAAAGCTAGCAGAAGGCAAGAAATAACTAAAATCAGAGCAGAACTGAAGGAAATAGAGACACAAAAAACCTTTCAAAAAATTAATGAATCCAGGAGCTGGTTTTTTGAAAGGATCAACAAAATTGATAGACTGCTACCAAGACTAATAAAGAAAAAAAGAGAGAAGAACAAATAGACGCAATAAAAAATGATAAAGGGGATATCACCACCAATCCCACAGAAATACAAACTACCATCAGAGAATACTACAAACACCTGTACGCAAATAAACTAGAAAATCTACAAGAAATGGATAAATTCCTCGACACATACACCCTCCCAAGACTAAACTAGGAAGAAGATGAATCTCCGAATAGACCAATAACAGGATCTGAAATTGTGGCAATAATCAATAGCTTACCAACCAAAAAGAGTCCAGGACCAGATGGATTCACAGCCGAATTCTATCAGAGGTACAAGGAGGAACTGGTACCATTCCTTTGAAACTATTCCAATCAATAGAAAAAGAGGGAATCCTCCCTAACTCATTTTATGAGGCCAGCATCATCCTGATACCAAAGCCAGGCAGAGACACAACCAAAAAAGAGAATTTTAGACCAATATCCTTGATGAACATTGATGCAAAAATCCTCAATAAAATACTTGCAAACCGAATCCAGCAGCACATCAAAAAGCTTATCCACCATGATCAAGTGGGCTTCATCCCTGGGATGCAAGGCTGGTTCAATATACGTAAATCAATAAATGTAATCCAGCATATAAACAGAGCCAAAGACAAAAACCACATGATTATCTCAATAGATGCAGAAAAGGCCTTTGACAAAATTCAACAATGCTTCATGCTAAAAACTCTCAATAAATTAGGTATTAATGGGATGTATCTCAAAATAGTAAGAGCTATCCATGACGAACCCACAGCCAATATCATACTGAATGGGCAAAAACTGGAAGCATTCCCTTTGAAAACTGGCACAAGACAGGGATGCCCTCTCTCACCACTCCTATTCAACATATTGCTGGAAGTTCTGGCCAGGGCAATCAGGCAGGAGAAGGAAATAAAGAGTATTCAATTAGGAAAAGAGGAAGTCAAATTGTCCCTGTTTGCAGATGACATGATTGTATACCTAGAAAACCCCACTGTCTCAGCCCAAAATCTCCTTAAGCTGATAAGCAACTTCAGCAAAGTCTCAGGATACAAAATCAATGTACAAAAATCACAAGCATTCTTATACACCAACAACACACAAACAGAGAGCCAAATCATGAGTGAACTCCCATTCACAATTGCTTCAAAGAGAATAAAATACTTAGGAATCCAACTTACAAGGGATGTGAAGGACCTCTTCAAGGAGAACTACAAACCATGGCTCAATGAAATAAAAGAGGATACAAACAAATGGAAGAACATTCCATGCTCATGGGTAGGAAGAATCAATATTGTGAAAATGGCCATACCGCCCAAGGTAATTTATAGATTCAATGCCATCCCCATCAAGCTACCAATGACTTTCTTCACAGAATTGGAAAAAACTACTTTAAAGTTCATATGGAACCAGAAAAGAGCCCGCATCGCCAAGTAAATCCTAAGGCAAAAGAACAAAGCTGGAGGCATCATGCCACCTGACTTCAAACTATACTACAAGGCTACAGTAACCAAAACAGCATGGTACTGGTACCAAAACAGAGATATAGATCAATGGAACAGAACAGAGCCCTCAGAAATAACGCCGCATATCTACAACTATCTGATCTTTGACAAACCTGAGAAAAACACGCAATGGGGAAAGGATTCCCTATTTAATAAATGGTGCTGGGAAAACTGGCTAGCCATATGTAGAAAGCTGACACTGGATCCCTTCCTTACACCTTATACAAAAATCAATTCAAGATGGATTGAAGACTTAAACATTAGACCTAAAACCATAAGAACCCTAGAAGAAAACCTAGGCATTACCATTCAGGACGTAGGCATGGGCAAGGACTTCATGTCTAAAACACCAAAAGCAATGGCAACAAAAGCCAAAATTGACAAATGGCATCTCATTAAACTAAAGAGCTTCTGCACAGCAAAAGAAACTACCATCACAGTGAACAGGCAACCTACAAAATGGGAGAAAATTTTCGCAACCTACTCATTTGACAAAGGGCTAATATCCAGAATCTACAATGAACTCAAACAAATTTACAAGAAAAAAACAAATAACCCCATCAAAAAGTGGGCAAAGGATATGAACAGACACTTCTCAAAAGAAGACATTTATGCAGCCAAAAAACACATGAAAAAATGCTCATCATCACTGGCTGTCAGAGAAATGCAAATCAAAACCACAATGAGATACCATCTCACACCAGTTAGAATGGCAATCATTAAAAAGTCAGGAAAACAACAGGTGCTGGAGAGGATGTGGAGAAATAGGAACACTTTTACACTGTTGGTGGGGCTGTAAACTAGTTCAACCATTGTGGAAGTCAGTGTGGCGATTCCTCAGGGATCTAGAACTAGAAATACCATTTGACCCAGCCATCCCATTACTGGGTATATACCCAAAGGACTATAAATCATGCTGCTATAAAGACACATGCACACGTATGTTGATTGCAGCACTATTCACAATAGCAAGCACTTGGAACCAACCCAAATGTCCATCCAACAATGATAGACTGGATTAAGAAAATGTGGCACATATACACCATGGAATACTATGCAGCCATAAAAAATGATGAGTTCATGTCCTTTGTAGGGACATGGATGAAATTGGAAATCATCATTCTCAGTAAACTATGGCAAGGACAAAAAACCAAACACCGCATGTTCTCACTCATAGGTGGGAATTGAACAATAAGAACACATGAACACAGGAAGGGGAACATCACACTCTGGGGACTGTTGTGAGGTCGGGGGAGGGGGGAGGGATAGCATTAGGATACCTAATGCTAAATGACGAGTTAATGGGTGCAGCACACCAGCATGGCACATGTATACATATGTAACTAACCTGCACATTGTGCACATGTATCCTAAAACTTAAAGTATAATAATAATTTAAAAAAAAAAAAAGAAAAAAAGACACAGAATCTTTGTTTTCCAAGCTAAACAGAAACCTTTTATCATCTTTTTTTTTTTTTTTTAAGGTGGGGTTTCACCATGTTGCCCACACTGGTCTAGAACTCCTGGGCTCAAGTGATCCACCCACCTCAGCCTCCCAAAGTGCTAGGATTAACAGGCATGAGCCTCTATCTCTTATTAAGAACAGATTGATGAGCCAAGAAACTTTATCATTTTAACAGAGAGAAAATCAAACTCTAGTCTTGTGTCAATACATTATTTTCCTAATTAAAAAAGAAAAAAAGCCTGGGCACAGTGGCTCACCCTTGTAATTCCAGCACTTTGGGAAGGCAAGGAGGGCGGAACACCTGAGGTCAGAAGTTCAAGACCAGCCTGGCCAACATGGAGAAACCCTGTCTCTACTAAGAGCACAAAAAAATTATGTAAGCATGGTGGCACACACCTGTAGTCCCAGTTACTTAGGAGGCTGAGGCAGGAGAATCACTTGAACCTGGAAGGGGGAGGCTTGCCGTGAGCTGAAATCACACCACTGCACTCCAGCCTTGGGTGACAGAGGGAGACTCTGTCTCAATAAAAACAAACAAACCAAAGAATCTGGCCAGGCACAATGGCTCACGCTGGTAATCTCAGCAATTTGGGAGGCCAAAGCAGGAGGATCACTTGGGGACCAGGAGTTCAAGGCTGCAATAAGCTATGAAGCTATGATCACGCCACTGCACTCCAGCCTAGGTGACAGAGAGAGACCCTACCTCTGAGGAAAAAAAAAAAAAAAGTCTTACAAATAAAGCCATTTAATCTTAGCCAGTTTTGCCCTCACAAAATTAAATTCCCTTTTTGCAAACTTTCTACAACTTTCTAGATTCATTCAGGTTCTGTCCTACGCTTTCCCTTTTTCTCATTTTACTTTAAGACAAAATTATTCTGCTTTTTTCCTTAACAAAAGCACATTCTACATTCCTTGCATGCTTTTCATATAAAAACACATTGTACTTTACTCCCATACCTTACATACAACATTGTTTTTCTTCAATATTATTGTTTCTAGAAGTTTTATTTTTATTGGTTACAAATTTTAACTATTTTCACTAATGCTCAAAATATTTTCTAGAACTATTTGGTTTATTGTCAAGTCTTTCTTAAACTTTTTTTTTTAGTTTAACAAATAGTTTTATTCTAGTATGAAAGGCATCCAGGTTATCTAGACCTCCATACAACCAGAAGCTAAAATTCCAGATTTCATAAAGTTAAATAAATTTAAATAATATTGAATATTATCATTTATTTACTAGCATTTTTTATTTTTTCATTTGTTTTTTAATTGACATATAATAATTATACATACATGGAGTATGTAGTGATGTTATGATACATACAAAGTATAGTGATCAGATCAGGGTAATCAGTATATACATCATCTCAAACATTTATCATTTATTTGTGTTAAGAATGTTCAATATCCTACTTTAGCTATTTGAAACTATCTAATATATTATTGCTAACTATAGTCATCCTACAGTGTTATAGAGCACTAGAACTTATTTCTCATATTTAGCTGTAAGTTTGTATCCTTTAACAAATCTTCCCCTATCCTTCCCTTCCCCCTTTACTTCCCAGCCTCCAATATGCTCTGTTCTAATTTTTACTTCTATGAGATCGTTTTTTAGCTTCTGTATATGTATAAGAACATCCATCTTGCCACAATGACAGGATTTTATTCTTTTTCATAGCTGATTAGTTCATTAACTATATATATTGCATTTTCTTTATGTATTCATCTGTTGTTGGATACCTAGGTTGATTCTATATCTTGGCTATTGTAAATGGTGCTACAATAAACATGAGAGTGCAGGATTTCCTTTCCTTCAGATAAAGGCCCAGAAGTGAGATTGCTGTAGTTCTATTTAATAGATTCTTGAGGAGCCCCCACACTGCTCTCCATAGTGGCTATACTAGTGTACATTCCCACCAACAGTGTATAAGAGTTTCCTTTTCTCCACATCCTTGCCAGCATTTGTTATTTTTTGTATTTTTGATGATAGCCACCCGAACTGGGATGAGATGATAGCCTATTGTGGTTTGACTCACATTTCTCTGAAGATTAATGTTGAGTATTTTTCGTATGTTTTTGGCCATTCATATGTCTTCTTTTGAGAAATGTCTGTTCAGATCATTTCCCCTTCTTTTAATAGAACTGTGTTTGTGTATGTGTGTGTGTGTGTGTGTGTGTGTGTTGTTTGTTTTTGTTTTGTCTTGTTTTTTTACTGTTGAGAAGTTTGTGTTCTTATATATTCTGGACACTAATCCCTGTTGGATAAATAGTTTGCAAATATTTTTTTCTCATTCAACGAGTTGTCTTTTCACTCTGTTGGTTGTTTCACTTGCTCTGAAGAAGCTTTTCAATTTGATATAATCCTATTTGTTTATTTTTGCTTTTCCAGCCTGTGCTTTTGAGGTCTTATTCACAATATCTTTTCCCAGGCCAACGTCCTGAAGCATTTCCCCTATGTTTTCTACTAGTAGTTTTATAGTTTTTGGTCTTACATTTAGGATTTTGATTCATTTTGAGTTTTCTTTAGGGTGAGAGGTGGGAGTCTAGTTTCCTTCTTCTGCATATGTATATTCAGTTTTCCAAGCAACATTTACTGAAGAAACTGTCTTTTCCCCAACGAGTGTTCTTGGTGCTTCTATCAAAATCAGTTGTAACTTGATCACCTCCGTAAAGAAAAAAAAAAAGGAGAAGGGATTACGGTGGATGGGAGGCAGGACTAGATTGCAGCTCCAACTTGGACAGACAGAGCAGTGTGTGGAGGTTTGCATCACAAATTTTTGCTCCAGAACGACTGTAGGAATAAATCTGAAAACCAGAGAGGACCCTGAAGGAAGCAGATTGCTCCTGCAGGACCCAGGAGACACCCCAAATAATGTGCTGGTATCCACAGATGAGAGATCCACAGATGGTTCACATCACAGGACTCTGGGCAGACAACCCCTGGTACCAGCCTGGAGCTGGGTAGACTTGGTGGGCGGCTAGATCCAGAAGATAGATAACAGTCACTACAGCTCGGCCCACAGGAAGCCACATCCATAGGAAAATGGGGATAATACTAAATCAAGAGAACAACACCCTGTAAGACAAAAGAATCTGAACAACAGCCTTCAGCCCTAGAACTTCCCTCTGACAAAGCCTACCAACTGAGAAGGAACCAGAAAACCAACTCTGGTAATATGACAAAACAAGGTTCTTTAACTCCTCCAAAAAATCATACTAGCTCACCAGCAATTAACCCAAACCAAGAAGAAATCCATGATTTACCTGAAAGAAAAATCAGGAGGTTAGGTATTAAGCTAATCAGGGAGGCATCAGAGAAAGGCGAAGCTCTATGCAAGGAAACCCAAAAAACGATACAAGAAGTGAAGGGAGTAATATTCAAGAAAATAGATAGCATAAATAAAAAACAATCAAAACTTCAGGAAACAACAGACACAATTATAGAAATGCAAAATGCTCTGGAAAGTCTCAGCAATAGCATTGAAGAAGTAGAAGAAAGAAATTCAGAGCTAAAAGACAAGGTCTTCAAATTAACCCAATCCAACAAAGACAAAGAAAAAAGAATAAGAAAATACAAGCAAAGCCTCCAAGAAGTCTGGGATTATGTTAAACGATCAAACTTAAGAATAATCGGTGTTCCTGAGGAAGAATAGAAATCTATAAGTTTGGAAAACATATTTGGGGGAATAACTGAAGAAAATTCCCCAGCCTTGCTAGAGACCTAGACATCCAAATACAAGAGCTCAAAGAACACCTGGGAAATTCATTGCCAGAACATCACCTAGGCACATTGTCTTCAGGTTATCTAAGTTAAGATGAAGGAAAGAATCTTAAAAACTGTGAGACAAAAGTACCAGGTAACTTGTAAAGGAAAAACCTATCAGATTAACAGCAGATTTCTTAGCAGAAACCCTACAAGCTAAAAGGGATTGGGGCCCTATCTTCAGCCTCCTCAAACAAAGCAATTATCAGCCAATAATTTTGTATCCAGTGAAACTAAACTTCATATATAAAGGAAAGATACAGTCTTTTTCAGACAAACAAATGATGAGGGAATTCACCACTACAAAGCCAACGCAACAAGAACTGCGAAAAGGAGCTCTAAATCTTGAAACAAATCCTGGAAATACACCAAAACAGAACCTCTTTAAAGCATAAATTTCACAGGACTTATAAAGCAAAAATACAATTTAAAAAACAAACACGAAAAATGAAAAAACAAGGTATGCAGGCAACAAACAGCACAGTGAAGGGAATGGAACCTTACATCTCAATACTAACATTGAATGTAAATGGCCTAAATGCTCCACTTAAAAGATACAAAATGGCAGAATGGATGAGAATTTACCAACCAACTCTCTGATGCCTTCAAGAGACTCACCTAACACATAAGGACTCACACAAATTTAAAGTAAAGGGATGGAAAAAGACATTTCAGGTAAATGCACAACAAAAACAAGCAGGAGTAACTATTCTTATATCAGAAAAAAACAAACTTTAAAGCAACAGCAGTTAAAAAAGACAAAAAGGGTCATTATTTAAGAATAAAAGGCCTTGCCCAACAGGAAAATATCACAATCCTAAATATATATTCATCTAACACTGGAGCTCCCAAATTTATAAAACAATTACTAATAGACCAAAGAAATGAGATAGATTTCAACACAATAATAGTGGGAAACTTTAATACTCCACTCACAGCACCAGACAGGTCATCAAGACAGGAAGTCAACAAAGAAACAATGGATGTAAACTATACCCTGGAACAAACAGGCTTAATAGCAATATACAGAACATTCCATCCATCAACTGCAGAATATACATTCTATTCAACAGCGCATGGAACTTTCTCCAAGATAGACCATATGATAGGCCACAAAACAGGCCTCAATAAATTCAAAAAAACTGAAATTATAACAAAGCACTCTCTCAGACTACAGTGGAATAAAACTAAAAATCAACTCCAAAAGAAACCTTTAAAACAATGCAAATACATGGAAATTAAATAACCTGCTCCTGAATGATCATTGGGTCTAAAATGAAATCAAGATGAAAATTTAAAAAATCTTTGAATGAAATGACAATTGTAACACAACCTACCATAACCTCTGGGACACAGCAAAGGTGGTGCTAAGAGGAAAGTTCATAGCCCTAAACGCTTATGTCAAAAAGTCCAAAAGAGCACAGACAATCTGAGTTCACACCTTAAGGAACTAGAGAAACAAAACCAAACCAAACCCAAACTCAGCAGAAGAAAGGGAATAACCAAGATCAGAGCAGAACGAATGAAATTGAAACAAAAAAAAATACAAAAGATAAATGAAACAAAAAGTTGGATCTTTGAAAGAACCAATAAAATTGATAGACCATTAGCAAAATTAACCAAGAAAAGAAGACAGAAAATCCAAATAAGCTTAATTAGAAACAAAAAGGGAGATATTACAACACCACAAAAATAAAAAAGATTATTCAAGGCTACTATGAACACCATTATTCACATGAACTAGAAAACCTAGAATAGATGGATAAATTATGGGAAAGCTACAACCCTCCTAGCTGAAACCAGGAAAAATTAGACACCCTGAACAGACCAATACAAGCAGTGAGATTGAAATGGTAATTTTAAAATTACCAACAAAAAAAAGTCCAGGACCAGATGGATTCACAGCAGAATTCTACCAGACATTCAAAGAATTGGTACCAACCCTTTTGACACTATTCCACAAGATAGAGAAAGGGGGAACCCTCCCTAAATCATTCTATGAAGCCAGTATCACCATAATACCAAAATCAGAAAAGGACATAACAAAAAAAGAAAAGTACAGACTGATATCCTTGATGAACATAGATACAAAAAATCTTTAACAAAATACTAGCTAACTGAGCCCAACAACATATCAAAAAAAAAAATCCACAATGATCAAGTGGGTCTCATACCAGGAATGCAAGGATGATTTAACATATGCAAGTCAATAAATGTGATACACCACATCAACAGAATTTAAAACAAAAATAACATAATCACCTCAATAGATCCAGAAAAAGCATTCAAAAAAATCCAGCATCCTTTTATGATTATAACTCTCAGCAAAATTTGCATAGAAGGGACATACCTCAATATAATAAAGCCATCTATGACAAACACACGGCCAACATAATACTGAACAAGGAAAAGTTAAAAGCATTCCACCTGAGAACTGGAACAAGACAAGGATGCCCATTCTCACCACTTCTATTCAACATAGTACTGTAAGTCCTAGCCAGAGCAATCAGACAAGAGAAAGAAATAAAGGGCATCCAAATCAGTAAAGAGGAAGTCAAACTGTTGCTGTTTGTTGACAGTATGATCGTTTATCTTGAAAACCCTAAAGACTCCTCCAGAAAGCTTCTAGAACTGATCAAAGAATTCAGCAAAGTTTCCAGATACAAAATTAATGTACACACACCAGTACCTCTTCTACACACCAACAGCGACCAAGCTGAGAATCAAATCAAGAACTCAACCCCTCTTACAATAGCTGTAAAAAAGAAAACTTCAAAATATACCTAACCAAGGAAGTGAAAGACCTCTACAAAAAAAAACTATAAAACACCGCTGAAATAAATCATAGATGACACAAACAAATGGAAACATATCCCATGCTCATGGATGGGTAGAATCAATATTATGAAAATGACCACACTGCCAAAAGCAACCTACAAATTCAATGCAACTGCCATCACAATACCACCATCATTCTTCACAGAATTTGAAAAAACAATTGTCAAATTCAAATGAAACCAAAAAGAGCCCACATAGCCAAAGAAAGACTAAGCAAAAAGAACAAATCTGGAGGCATCACATTACCTGATTTGAAACTATACTATAAGGCCATAGTCACCAAAACAGCATGGTACTGGTATAAAAATAGGCACATACCAATGGAACAGAATGGAGAACCCAGAAATAAACCCAAATACTTACAGCCAACTGATCTTTGACAAAGCAAACAAAAACATAAAGTGGGGAAAGGACACTATATTCAACAAATGGTGCTGGGATAATTGGCTAGCCACATGTAGGAGAATAAAACTGGAACCTCATCTATTAATTTATGCAAAAATCTACTCAAGATGGATTAAGGACTTAAATCTAAGGTATGAAACTATAAAAATTCTAGAAGATAACATTGGTAAAACTCTTCTAGACACTGGCTTAGGCAAGGATTTCATGACCAAGAACCCAAAGGCAAATGCAATAGAAACAAAGATAAACAGCTGGGACCAAATTAGACTAAAGAGCTTTTGCACGGCAAAAGGAACAGTCAGCAGAGTAAACAGACAACCCACAGAGTGGGAGAAAATCTTCACAATCTATACATCTGACAAAGGACTAATATCCAGAAACGATAGTGAACTCAAACAAATCAGTAAGAAAAAAAAAATCCCATCAAAAAGTGGGCTAAGGACTTGAATAGGCAATTCTCAAAAGAAGATATACAAATGGCCAACAAACATATGAAAAAATGCTCAACATCATTAATGATCAGGGAAATGCAAATCAAAACCACAGTGTGATACCACCTTATTCTTGCAAGAATGGTCATAATCAAAAAATCAAAAAACAGTAGATGCTGGCATGGATGTGGTGAACAGGGAACACTTTACACTGATGATGGGAGTGTAAACCAGTAGAGCCTCTATGGAAAACAGTGTGGAGACTCCTTAAAGAACTAAAAGTAGAACTACCATTTGATCCAGCGACCCCACTACTGGGTATCTACCCAGAGAAAAAGACATCATTATTCAAAAAAGATACTTGCACACACATGTTTATAGCAGCACAATTCACAATTGCAAAATCGTGGAACCAACCCAAATGCCCATCAATCGAGTGGATAAAGCAACTAATTAAGTCCTTGATTAAATAATGATTTTATGATTTACACCTGGAATTCCTATTATCCTCATTAATTAATTGTCCCTTAATTCTTTACTTCTTGATTTTATTTGCAGAAAATGTGAGGTTTTTGAAATAAATTTATAATAAAATGCTGCCTATATTATCCAAATGTGTTTTTATTTTTTAAATATTTGCCTAGAATTGAGTCACATATATTTCTGAAAAAGGCAAGTATTTTCAACAAAGTTTTGGTGTAGTATTTTTAGAAAAATGTTGAAATGTGCACTTCAAAATAACCTCTATTCAATGTATAAAAAAATAATAATTTTCTTTCAAATATAATACTTTAAATGTTTATAAGTTATCGATTAAAAGTGGCATTAGAGTTATAATGTACATATCCAAACTCATCATGATAACTGCTTTTTAAATTTTTTATAAATTCAAACATATCAAATTTTAATGGATTTTGCTTCAATCTATAAATACTAAGCTACATATCAATACATGTTTAAAGTTTGATGTTTTTAAATATCTACTTCCATTTAAAAGTGACATACATAAAGGCTTTGGCTTCTGTATGAGAACATGGTACGAAAAGTTGCTAGAGTCATCTAAGAATCATGAAGGGTCGGCCAGAAGAATCTCAGAGAACTATGTCTGAGTCCTAATGCTGTTAAGTCAGACCTATTTTGGAACAACTTAATTCCAGATTTCTTGTAATGTGATGTAATGCCTATCTTTTGTATTTACTTTGCGTTTTTTTTTTTTAGGATATTTTGAGGTCTGGCAGTGCAATACCTCCAGTTTTGTTCTTTTTGCTCAGGATTGCTTTGCTATTTGAGGTCTTTTGTGTTTCCATAGAAATGTTAGAATGTTTTTTCTATTTTTGTGAAGAATGTCACTGGTATTTTGATAGGGGTTTCATTGAGTCTGTAGATTCTTTTGGGTGGCATTGTCATTTTAATAATACTAATTCTTCAATTCATGAGCATGGAATGTCTTTGCATTTGTTTGTATCCTCTTTAATTTCTTTCATCAGTGTTTTATAGTTTTCCTTGTAGAGGTTTTTCACCACCTTGGTTAAATTTATTCTTAGGTGGTTTTATTTTTTGTAGCTGTTGTAAGTGGGATTGCCGTCTTGATTTTCAACTAGTTCATTGTTCATGCATAGAAACCCTACTGATGTTATTAATTTATTTTTTAATTGACAGGTATTTGTATGTATTCACAGGATACACAATGTTGTTTTGATACATATAGTGTGTAGTGATCAGATCAATGTAATTAACATTCATTATCTCAAATATTTAACATTACTTTGTGTTGGGATACTTCACTGTTAATTTTGGTATTTTGTCACTTGCAACGAATATCATTCTTAAATGATATAATAACCTTGTAATGTTTTCTTGGAATGCAATACTTGCTCTACTGATTCAAAAATTGGTTAAAAGAAAAAAATATTGGGGAGGCAGTGGTTAATAAAACTCAAAAAATATTGAGGAGGAAGTGGTTAATAAAACTCAATATATATTCTTTCAAAAAAAATTCTTAGCAAATACAGGCATAGACTGGACACAGTGGCTCATGCCTGTAATCCCAGCACTTTGGGAGGCTGAGGCGAGCAGATCACTTGAGGCCAGGAGTTCGAGACCAGCCTGGCCAATAAGGCAAAACCCCGTCTCTACTAAAAATACAAAAATTTGCCGGGCATGATGGCACATGCCTGTAATCCCAGCTACTCGGGAGACTGAGGCACGTGAATGGCTTGAACTCAGGAGGCAGAGGTTGCAGTAAGCCAAGATTGTGCCACTGCACTTCAGCCTGGGCAACAGAGAGAAACTCTGTCTCAAAAAACAAACAACAAAAAAAGGCATACTTTGTTTTACTGTACTTCACTTTATATTTTACAGATAATTGTGTTTTTTACCAATTGAAGGTTTCTGGTAACCCCATGTCCAACAAGTCTAACAGCACCATGTTTTTTAACAGCATGTGCTCATTTTGTAACTGTCACATTTTGGTAATTCCTACAATATTTTAAACTGTTTCATTATTATATTCATTCTGATTATCTGTAATCAGTAATCTTTGATGTTACTATTGTAATTGTTTTGGGGTGCCATGAACCAGGCCCATATGAGATGGTGAACTTAATTGATAAGCGTTGATTATGTTCTGACTGCTCCACCGACCAACCATTCCCCCGTCTCTCTCCCTTTCCTCAGGCTTCTGTATTCCCTGAGAGACAATAACATTATAATTAGGCTAATTAATAATCCTACAATCGTTTCTGAGTGTCAAAATGAAAGGAAAAGTTGTATATGTCTCTCTTTAAGTCAAAAGAGAAATGATTAAGCTTACTGAGGAAGGCATGTTGAAAGCTGAGATATGCTACAAGCTAGGCCCCTTGTGTCAAACAGTGATCCAAGTAATAAATGCAAAGGAAAACTTAAAGAAAATTAAAAGTGCTTCTCCAGTGAACACACAAATGATAAGAAAGTGAAACAGCCTTATTGCTGATATGGAGAAAGTTTTAGTGGTCTAGATAGAAGATCAAACCAACCACAACATTCCCTTAAGCCAAAGCCTAATCCAGAGCAGGGCTCTAAATTTCTTCAATTCTATGAAAGCTGAGAGAAGTGAGGAAGCTGCCAGAGAAAAGTTTGAAGCTAGCAGAAGTTAGTTCATGAAGTTTAAGAAAAGAAGCCATCTATGTATACCACAAAAGTGCAAGGTGAAGTAGCAAATGCTGATGTAGAATCTACAGCAAGTTATCTAGAAAATCTTGCTAAAATAATTGCTGAAACTGGCTACACTAAACAACAGATTTTCTATGTAGATAAAACAGCCTTCTATTGGAAGAAAACACCATTTAGGACTTTCATGGTTAGAATGAAGCAGTCAATGCCCGCTTTCAAAACTTTAAAGGACAGGCTGATTCTCTTGTTAGAGGTTAATGAAGCTGGTGACTTCAAGTTGAAACCAATGTTCATTTACCATTCTAAAAATCCTAAAGCCATTGGCCGGGCACAGTGGCTCATGCCTGTAATCCCAGCACTTTGGGAGGCAGAGGCAGGAGGATCACAGGGTCAGGAGATCGAGACCATCTGGCTAACATGGTGAAACCCAATCTCTACTAAAAATAGAAAAAATTAGCCAGGCATGGTCGTGGGCACCTGTAGTCCCAGCTACTCAGGAGGCTGAGGCATGAGAATGGCGTGAACCCGGGAGGCGGAGTTTGCAGTGAGCTGAGATCGTGCCACTGCACTCCAGCCTGGGTGACAGAGCAAGACTCCGTCTCAAAAAAAAAAAAAAAAACCTAAAGCCATTAAGAATTATGCTAAATGTACTCTACCTGTGTTCTATGAATGGAATAACAAAACCTAGATGACACCATATCTGTTTACATCATGGTTTACTGAATATTTTAAGCCCATTGTTGAGACCTACTGCTCATTAAAAAAAGATTACTTTTAAAATATTAAGGTTAATTGACAATGCACCTAGCCACTAAAGAGCTCTGATAGTGATGTACAAGAAGATTAATGTTTTTATGCTTGCTCACACCACATCTATTCTTCAGCCCATGGATCAAGGGGTAATTTTTGCTTTCCAGTTTTATTATTTAAGAAATATATTTCTTAAGGCTATAGCTGCCATAAATAGTGATTCCTCCAATGGACCTGTGCAAAATAAGTTGAGAATTTTTTAGAAAGGATTCATAATTCTAGATGCCATTAAAAACATTCATGATTCATGGAAGAGGTCAAAATGTCAACATTAACAGGAGTTTGGAAGTTGATTCCAACCCTCATGAATGACTTTGTGAGGTTTAAGACTTCAATAGAGGAAATAACTACACATTGGGTAGCGATAGCAAGAGAAATAGAATTGGAAGTGGACCCTAAAGATGTAACTGAATTGCTGCAATATCATGATAAAGCCTGAACAGATGAAGACTTGCTTCTAAGAAAGTGGCTTCTTGAGACAGAATCAATTCCTGGCGAAAATTCAGTGAACATTGTTAAAATGACAACAAAATATTTAGAATATTACATAAACTTAGTTGATAAAGTAATGGCAGGGTTTGAGAGGATTGACACTAATTTTGAAAAAGGTTCAACTGCATGTAAAATAGTATTCAACAGCATCTCAAATCTTTCATGAAAGGAAGAATAAATAGATGGAGAAAACTTTATTTTCTATTTTAAGACACTACCACAGCCACCACAACCTTTGGCAATCACCATCCTGATCAGTCAACAGCCATCAACATCAAGGTAAGAGCCTCCACTAGGAAAAAGATTACAACCTGCTGAAGGCTCAGGTGATCAGTAGCATTTTTTAGCAATAAAGTTTTTTATATGGTATGTATATATTTTTAAACATATGTATATTGCACACTTAATAGACTACAGTATAGTGTAAACTTAACTTTTATATGTACTGGGAAACCAAAAAAATAGTGTGACTTGCTTTATTGAAATTTATCTTTATTTGGTGGTGATGAACTGAGCCTGCAATATCTTCAAAATATGCTTGTATGAATAAAAAGAAACTTCTTTAAAGGTATCTTCTAGAAGAATTATATTTAATGAAAGATTAGAACTATTCTTGTTTGAGTTGAACAACATAGAAATGCCCACTGTCACTGGTACTCACATCATTATATTACAGATTCTAGCCACTACAGTTACACACACATGTGCACCCACTCATATACAATAATTGAGGTATAAATACTAGAAATAAATAGACCAGATTCTAATTATTTTCAGATGATTTGACAAAATCAAATACTCAAAAAATCTGGAATAACTGCTATGAGATTGCACAAGCACAGGTCCTGCTAACTTAAATACTACATGTTTGACACATATTTTCTTTTTCACTCCAAAACATATATTGTGTACCATGTGTTAGTTATTATGCTAAATTTTGGAGATTCAAGTTAAGCAACATAGCACAGTCTTTGACATTTATGAAATTGTGTCTACTGTGAGAGACAAACATTAATCGAATGTTTACGCTGACATAAATCACAGTGTGATAAATCTTTTTTTTTTTTTTTTTTTTTGAAAATTTGACTCTGGATGAGAATCTCAGTCTGTCGCCCAGGCTGGAGTGTGGTGGCGTGATCTCAGCTCACTGCAACCTCTGCCGCCCAGGGTTCAAGCAATTCTCCTGCTTCAGCCTCCCGAGTAGGTGGGATTACAGGCACCTGCCACTGCCCCTGGCTAGTTTTTGTAGTTTTAGTAGAGACAGGGTTTCAACATCTTGGCCAGGCTGGTCTTGAACTCCTGACCTTGTGCTTCACCTGCCTCGGCCTCCCAAAGTGCTGGGATTACAGCCATGAGCCACCACATCAAGCCAATAAATCCTCTTAATGGAATAAATAGCAACCTATGGGGGAATCCAACTTAATCTGAGGAACTGAAAAAAAAAATACATTTAAAGAATGATGAGAAGTTAATTAGATGAGACAGAGAAAGCCGGGGAAAATGTTTCCAAAAGAAAAATAGCAAATACAGCAGCACTCAGAGTGGGCATAGGCCATTACAGAAACTGAAAGATGGTTAGTGTTGTTGAGAGACATTTCTCCATAAGAGGTATTATGGATGACTTGAATCAACTCTTTTACTGGACTATCTTTCCAAAATATTTATATAGCAAACAACCTTAGAAGATACATAGTTTCTCTCTGTGGGGCAAAGTGCAGATCTGTTTCCCTGCGCAGAACAATAAAGATAACATCTTCTCCAGGGCAAAGTTTGGACAAGTTTGCTAGCAGCCTACTTTTTAGAACAGCTCCTAAGCTGAAACACAGATTCACTGTGTGCACAGCATCCACCCGAGTCTTCCTCCGCATCATCCTCATGGCACTTGAGGGTCAAGAGAACCATGTGAACATTAATCTCCCTCTTGTACCATGCATAGTAATATTCTTTGTCTCTGACCCAGGGGTTTTGTGTCTTCTGGCAACATCTTTGAAACTGTGGCAGCTACATTGTTAGATTTCAAGTAGCATAAAACCTTTTCCCCTCTGGAGTTTGTGACAAGTAGGAACACAGCAAAGACAGCTTGGGAGAGAATTCAAAATATGAATCTGGAAAAGAAAGCAGGATTTTATGAGACATGGTCAGAAGTAATATTGCAAATATTGAACAACCATTCTAACACAGGCACTAACCAATGTGAATGAACTCAAGACAATTGGATGAGCCATTAACAAGCCAATATGGTTTCAGAGCTTCATACCAGCTGAATATCACACATAGCCTGGGATATTTTATCTTAAGAAAACTACAAAATCATCATAAAACGTTTAGCCAGGGAGTGGTACTAGCAGATCTGGGTTTTTTTAGATGATTATTCTGATGATAACTAAATGTAACTTGTGAACATGGATACATGTCTGAACCAGAGAAAAAAATTATTGTACGATTATGATATTAGTGGGGAAATCTGAAAATGTGATCAAAATTTATAGATTATATAATAGTTTTATACTGGTAATTTTTTGATGCTGACCACTGTACTTTAGCCATGTAAAAAAATTACTTATTTTAAATAAATACACACTGAAGTATTTCAATATAAAGAAATATCATGTTTCCAGTTTACTCTCAAACAGTTCAAAATATATAACTATAAAGAGAGAAAAAAGGAAAGATGGAAGGAAGGGAAAGGGGAAGGAAGAAAGAGAGAAAGGAAACAAGAGAGAGTGATAAATGTGGTAAAATGTTAACATTTGGGAAATCTATATAAAGAGTATATGGAATTTATTTTTGAAACTTATGTAAATCTAAAATTATTTCAAAAAAACTTAAAAAGTACTATGTTGGCAATATGGAAAATGGTTTAAAGGAGGTCACATATAAAGTGAGCAAAACATATTTTTAATTAATAAATTTATCTAATTTTTATATAACAAAGCACATTATCACTTGATCTAGTTGACTTCTACCTTACCACTATAAAATGCAATGCAGTTATCTAATTTTAGTCTTTTATTATTCATTCTATAATAATATAAATTTATATTATTATATTATTCTATAATAATTTTTAGCAATTTTCCAGCCTTATATCTAAAAGTTGTAAAGGTTTTTCTTGCACTTATCAATTTTCACTGAAGAGTATTGTCCTAAATTTTATATTTCTGAAAATTTTTTCCACTGTGCTATTTTAATTTTCTTGGTCTTCTCTCTATAAAGCTATGGTTCTTTTATTTCTCATTCATGACCCAACCCAATTTCCACACTTCGTGACCATCTCATCTACTTCTCCACTGCTTTGTGCAACTCTGAAATTAACTAACTTTATATGTTGTTAGCTTGCCCAGCATAGAACCATCTGCAGACTTAATGAACAATCTCTCCATTCCATCACTGGAGAAGATGCTAATTAATTATTAAATTATAAGGTAGGGTATGAAAAATCAATTTCTCTCTCTCTCTTTCTGTTTCTCTCTTTCTCTCTCTCTCTCTCTCACACACACATACACAGACACACAAACACAGAGGCAAAAATACAGGTACAGACAAGCTAATTTTAAATTCTGGGAAGGTTAGATGACAGGAGAATCTCAATAAAAAGTCTGACTAATTTTTGAATGCTTTTGTGTTATGCTATTTGTCATTAGTCCACTGACCAAAATAAAACGTTTTAGGATCTCCTGCCTCTATAGGAGAGTCTCATACTTAATCAACAAAAAAAAATGCCATCTGTCATCTATTTGCAGCTAGACTGTACCATGTTGAAAACTGGGTGAGTTGTGTAAGGTCAGAGACAAGAGAGTGTTCTGCTGGATTTTTTGGGATCTTGGTGGAGGCTGCAGATATACTGGAGGGGCCTGGGTTGTCCGCTCACTTTCAATATAACCCAGGACACTTAAGCTTGGGTGAACTTCTTCTTAGAAAAAAAAACTGAACTCTCAGCTTCATTTTATTTTTCTCCTATGAAAATAGTATTATCTAAAGGACATGTAGTTAAAAGGAACCAAAAATGAGGCTCTGTAGTCCAGAAGTCTAGGGTTCCTGTTTCTTCCCCAGTCCCTGGGAATCATTTATATATTGACAGGATGCACTCACCCTTGAGTAACAAGTCAACCCTGAGGATACTAGGAAAATCAAAGCAGAGAGAATTAGACAGAGGCCAAATGTATCTTTAGAAAGGCATTTAAAGTAATCAGATAATAGTAGCATCTGCAGTTTCAATCACAAAATCAATTCATGTTTGATTTGATGACATTATGGCAGCAGTTATCAGTGTTATCAGTGAAACAAATTCTACACTCTGAGGAACAGAGGCAGGAAATGATACATCACCAAGCTCAGCACAACAAGAAGTACAATTAAAATTAATGTAATATTTGGGTCACTCCATGTACTGCATAGAGATAGGGGGATAAATTGGGAGACCTTTCACTCTACCCTTCCGCCCTACCATTTCTGTTTCTGTGGAACAGGTGGCTTCTCAGAAACAAACCTGACTTGATGCATTAAAATTTGACCTCTAGCTAACATCAATCTCTCTGGTGTCAGGCCCATGTCCAAAGGTAATACTGAAGAAAAGTTAATACAGGAGAGGCTCAGGTGTCCACTGTTATGTAAGTGGCTACTTCTAATAGACTATTAGATTATCTGTGGATGAAAAAAAATGTCACCATCTGACAGCCTTTGGGCATTTAGTAAAATAATAAATAACTAGCAAGAAAAAAAGTCTTTTTCATGCCAAGAGGAGAACAGCTGGGTGTCTCTGATCTACCTGTATTCGTTGGATATTTCAGCCAATTTCTTGTACCTAACCAGACAGAATGGGGAACTTTTGAAGCAGAAAACCTCCTGATATAATCATTTTTTAAAAAAATAGTGGTCCAGAAAGTAAAAATTATTTTATATATCATCTTACTTTTGGATCTTGTTATTACCAGTGACAGGGTATGAGTACTTCCCTAAGCTGCTGAGCTTTCCCATCCCGATGCTGTCCCATGGACACCTGTTAGCCATAGGTAGAAGAATCATTGTCTAGAATTGTTTCTCTTGCTCCACTCTAACACTGCATTAACCACTGACTCTCTGGCTTTCTAGTCTTTTCTGCTTGAACCAAAGAGGAAATTGAGTTCCAGATACCAGCAACCTAGCTTTCATAAGGGCTATCATCTCTTCTTTGAATTTGTATCAGGGACTGATAGGGAAAGTCACAGGCACTCACCATTCCTAACCTATCTTGTCAGTGTGTCAGTGTCGAGGCACATGTGTGCAGAAAACCCTGCTAGTGCCCAGTAAACAGGGATTTCCTATTTATACATTCATTAAACAATTATAGGCTGGGCGCAGCGGCTCACACCTGTAATCCCAGCACTTCGGGAGGTTGAGGCGGATGGATCACTTGAAGTCAGGAATTTGAGACCAGCCTGGCCAACATACTGAAACCCCATCTCTACTAAAAATACAAAAATTAGCTGAGCCTGGTGGCACGTGCCTGTAGTCCCAGCTCCTTGGGAGGCCTAGGCAGGAGGATCTCTTGAACCCAGGAGGCAGAGGTTGCAGTGAGCTGAGATCACACCACTGGACTCCAGCCTGGGCGACAGAGCAAGTCTCTGCCAAAAGAAAAACAATTACAAACCAATTTTTAAGTTGCAGAACATTGATCTCTGTTCTCAAGAAAATTATCATTCATCAAAGGAGTTCTCTAATTCTTCCTGTTTAAATCCTCTTTCACTTTGACTTTTGTTTTTGGTTTTTCTCCATTTGTTGCTGAAGTGTTTCAAATTTCCAATCTTACAGACTTAGTGCCTCTAAGCTGAGCAGTCCAGCCAACAGGCTACTCTTTATTAGTGTCAACCATGTCCTCAGAGACTCTCTTTCCAACCGCTCTTCAGCACCCACTTTTGCACTTCGGGCAGATTGTCCACTAACCTGGATGAGGTGTTGTAACTCAGAGGCAGATGTGAATCTAGAATGCATGACACCTTGATGGGTGCAGATTGAGAATATATAGAAAGTCAATTAGAGAAATCATGCCAAGGACTGTGCAAATCACATTCCAACTATATTTCATTTAGTTTCCACAACAATGCTATGAAGTAGATAAAGACCATTAGTCTTAAGATGAAGAAAACTGAAGCTTAGAGAAAGTAACTTCCCCCAACTCACATAGTTAAGAGATAAATCAGATTTCCAGATCTAAACTATACCTTCTTCCTACCTCACTAAATTGTTAGCTTGCTCCATAGGATTGGGAATATTTCCCTTTGATAGTTAGGTCATAAGTTTAAACCTGTTTTCTGGAAGATTTTTCTGATTAACTGAGAACCACTAACTACAGCATTTAATCTCAATTCCAGAGCAAGTCACTCCTCCCTAAGTGCAAGAGTCAAACATTCATCAATTTGATAATTTGATCCTTCTCATTAGACTGTAAGTCCCTTGAGAAGAAAGCTGATATATATTTAAACTAAAACAACTTTCGCGGCCTTCAAACGAAGCACAGTCCAGGATAGATGATTCAATGAATATCAAGAATGTCAGCTTCTCAAGCAGACTACTGTGTACATGTGCTCCTGTTAGGCATAGAGACTATGTTTTCATGTTGGTTTCCACGATGATTTAGATAAATATGTCTTAATTTTTAATTGCTCTATAATTGGCAGTGAATTCCTAATTCTTTAATTTTCTCTGCCTTGGTTTCTTTATAAAGTAGTTAATTATGTGTAAAATAAGCAGATGTACTTTTACAGCTGGCTTCTGGAAGTAACCCTTTGACAGATCTTTTCAGTAAGCTAAAGATCACTCATGAAAAACTCCCCCAACTTCTTTTTGCATATAAATTTTTATTTTTTTTATAGACTAGGGTGCTCCTATAGTCTAGATAAATGAAGTTCCCAGAAAAAATCACTTATCTTGTGAGCACAGAACTCGGTAGAAAACGAAAAAAGTGCAAAGCTTGAATTTCCACAAAGTCTAAGAACAAACACTTTGGAAAATTAAATTCTGTTTACTAGGCATTTCCACTCAAATGGCAGGTTGTGGTGCTAGAAAAGTTACACAAAAAATTATATCTACTTGATACAGTTGGTTTAGAAAGCAAGTTCAATATGAAGGGAAAATGCTACGACACATTGACAACAGCAAAGGATATGTCTTATGTGCCAGAGAAGTATGAGAAAAAATATTATTATCATGGAAGGTAATAACCAAAAAACTACTTTTCTTCATTTAAAGCTGTCAAAATGGATGGAATGGGAAGAGATTTTGGAGTTTAATCTCCTTTTTTCCTCCCTAAATGAAACACCAAACCTGTTAAAGTAAAAGCCTAATTTACTGGAGTATATTTTAGTCTTATGCAACTTTCAGAAAATTGAAACAGCATTTTTCACCCCAGTTTCCGGCAGTGTACCTCATTGAGCTGTTTCTCTCTCTTTTGCTGTGCTGCAGCAAAAGTATTTAATGTATTGACATTTACATTTTGATTGTAAGTCTGACAAGCAGCTTTATACTGAGAGCTCAACTGGTTTTTGTTGTTGTTGTTTCTAGCTTCCAATATTATTAAACTTTGGGCTGGGAGTACTGGCTCACACCTGCAATCCCAGCACTTTGAGAGGCCGAGGTGGGTGGGTCACTTGAGGTCAGGAGTTCGAGACCAGCCTGGCCAATATGGTGAAACCCCATCGCTACTAAAAATAGAAAAATTAGCCAGACATGCTGGCGCATGGCTGTAATCCCAGCTACTCGGGAAGCTGAGGCAGAAGAATCACTTGAACCAAGGAGGCGGAGGTTGCATTGAGCTGAGACCACACCACTGCACTCCAGTCTGGGCAACAGAATGAGACTCTGTCTCAAAAAAAAACTCTTTGCCTGTCAGTGTGCTTCAAAAAAACACATTTTGTCAGTTTTGTTAGTACACCACTTAATGTTACACAGAGTAAATCTAAAGGATGGATACTCTTTCTGACTTCGTATTTGAAAATACATAATTTTAAGAAAAAAATATGTCTAACAATATTCTGATCATCTTTGGCAAAGGAAAAAAAACAATCCAGGAACTTGATTTTTTTTTAATGTTCTGGTTTGTCCCTGGTCTTTACAGAACCATTTCACCAGACATTTGCTTCCACCACCAAAGAAAACAAATGGAAATAAATGTATACCAAATCTCATGGCTTCATCTTAGCTTCCCATCTGGAAATCTTTCTGAATTCTACCTCTAATCAGCCACTTCATCCCAAACTCAAATTTTACTACTTTAAAGTTTGTTTTATAATAAAATACTCTAAAATATCAGCCTTAGACATTTTCTGTGAAATCATTTGTAAATAGCGATATTTTTTTCAGAAAACATAATAATTATAGTAAATAGAACAGAGTGAAGATATACATGTGTATATACAGCCACATACACACAGACATATGCAGATACACATATACACAAAAAGCTTTAAACTCTCACCCCTGCAAGCTTAACCCTTCAGGTATCCCAAAACAGAAAAAAAAAAAGTTGGACATAAACAAAATGGAACATTGTAGGTAAGTAATTAGGCAATGAGTAAGTGGCCATTCTCAATCTTGCATTCAATAGCTAATTATATATATTACTTCACTGCTACAACTTGGGTTATACACTTGTAAACTATGGCTGATTACTTTATTGAAAGCTATATTTATAAAGAAAGTTGAGATCCTAGGATGAAATAGGCTGACATAAGCTACCAAATGTTATTAGTGGACTTCCTCATTACCAAAATCCATTTCCAAATACTCTACCATCCCCAAGGATTCATGTTCTGTTTCTCCATAGTATTATTAAACTAGGGGGCTCATCAGTTTACAACAGTAGCTATGGATGAGACTCTTAAACTTGATGGTGTATTCTGGCTTCATTTATTTTTATTTTTTACCCTATATACTACATTCAACGATTTTCTTTCCTCCAATTTCAAATCATTATCTGTGGATCAAGATTACATGTCTTGACTTTTTTCATCAAGGGCTATTTCTTCTCCAAAATATGTGCTGTCAATTGCAACAAAAACAAAAATTGAGTGGGACCTAATTAAACTAATGAGCTTCTGCACAGCAAAAGAAACCACGGACAGAGCAGACAACCCACAGAATGGGAGAAGATATTTTCAAACTATGCATCTGACAAAGGCCTAATAGCCAGAATCTATAGGGAACTTAAGCAATTCAACAAGCAAAAAAACAAACAACCCCATTAAAAAATGGGTAAAAGACATGAACAGACAATTCTCAAAAGAAGACATACAAGCAGCCAACAAACATAATGAAAAAATGCTCCACATCACTAATCATCAGAGAAATGCTAATCAAAACTACAACGAGACACCATCTCACACCAGTCAGAAAGGCTATTATTAAAAAATCAAAAAACAACATATGCTGGCGAGGCTATAGTGAAAAGGGAACACTTACACACTGTTGGTGGGAATAAAAACTAGTTCAGCCACCATTCCAGAAAGCAGTTTGGAGATCTCTCAAAGAACTTAAAACAGAACTACATTTTGACCTAACAATCCCATTACTAGTTATATGTACAAGAGAAAATAAATTATTCTACCAAAAAGACATGCACTCATATGTTCATTGCAATGCTATTCACAATAGCAAAGATATGGAATCAACCTAGGTGTCCCCTCAGTGATGGATTAGATAATCACCAACAAGGCACATGTATACATATGTAACAAACCTGCACGTTGTGCACATGTACCCTAGAACTTAAGGTATAATAATAAAAATAAAAATGAAGAAAGAAAATTAAGGGAGCAGAATGATACAATGTCAGCAGGCAATAATAAATGATGTCAATAGAAAAAAAAAGAAATTCAAAGACAGACATACACAAATACAAGTACATGTAAAACTGGACAAATCTGAATAAACTCTGTAAATTAAAAAAAAAGAAGAAAATGTTCTACATATATACCATGGAATACTACACAGTCATAAAAAAGAACAAAATCATGTCCTTTGGAGCAACATGGGTGAACTTGGAGGCCACAATCCTAAGCAAATTAACACAGGAATAGAAAACCAAATGCCACATGTTCTCACTTGTAAGTGGGAGCTAAATAGTGAGCATACATAAACATAAGCATGGGAATAGACACTGTGGACTACTAGAGGGAAGAAGTAGGAGGGGGATGTGTGTTGAAAATCTACCTATTGGGTACTATGCTCACTACCTGGGCACGATATAACCCATGTAACAAGCCTTCACATGTACCTACTATCTAAAATAGAAGTTGAATTTTTAAAATAAAATAAAAACAGCAAAAACACACACACACACACACACAACTGCTAAGATTGTTTTTTACTTGCATTTGATTTGCTAATGAAGCAAACTAGACTGGCAAAGAGGAGATAAACTTATTAATTCAAGGTTGTTTGGAGATTTTCTTTTTCTTATAAAATTTAGCCAGTTCCTATTAAAATGTAAATAATTCAAAATTAACTCTAAAATAATTTGAAACTGTAAAAAGGAAAAAAGGGAAAGTAAAAGAGACTAAAGAGACTGTTTTTTAAAAAATCAAACTGCCATGGAAACTTCTTTACCCAAAATTTTTGTCCATAGCCTTCATTAGGTTACCTATCAGGGCAAAAAACATTTAGCCATATGAATACTTCCCAGTTTTGTCAGAAACATAATGTGGATCCAACTGTATTTTATAAACTAGTAAGTTTGTGTGATTACTTCATGAATTAGATTCTAAAATGAAAGCTATAAGGTCTGTATTTTGGTGTATGTGTATATATATGTGTGTATATGTATACATATATGCTTGGATGTATTTATGCGTATGTACATGTATTACATTATATGTTGTGTCTACATGGTAAAACCTGATATACAGTCAACCAGAAATTCCTCAAAGATAAATGAGTACTCATATAAAATAAGAAATGTATAGTAATAAATCTAAATACCTTTTAATTTACAAGACTTAAGTAAATCATTAATACATAAGGTGGTTTGAAAATTGTTGGTAAAATAAAAATAAAATATGTCTTCAAAAAAAAAGAAAAAAATGTGGCACACATACACCATAGAATACTATTCAGCCCAGTCAAGTAATCAGAATGCTTTTTGTAAAAGAACAAAGAGAATAAGAAGTTTCATTAGCAGTAGTAAAGGTAAAAATACCTAATACAGTCTAGAAACACGCCCATGGAAACACCAGTATTAAGCAATTCCTTCCACATGTTAAAAATGGGGTTAACTCACAGAAATCACAGAGTAAGTACTTATTTGTACCAAAGGCAGTAAAAGATATTGCTTTTACCAATCTTTACATGACATTCACAGAAAAACGTGGGTTCCATGATCTTTAGAACTCAATTCTCATAGCCTAATTCTCCAGAACTCAGCCTTAAACCGGACACTAAATTTTAAGCAAAAGAAAGGCCAAAGATGAATCCAAACAAGGAAGAGAAGCAAGAGGCAGGTGACTGGTGCACAGGAATGGGCTCTGGAAGGAGCAGGGATCAGGTAACAAGGATTTTTTTTTTTTTAATGGGTTCATTTCAGCCATCATCTCCTCACTAACTGAGGTATAGCTCAGCTTGTAAGATTCCCAGTCTACAAAGCACAAAATAGAAATATAGTTGGTAGGATAACTTGGTTGCTGGATAATTTGTTCTTACATGTGGTTTCCAAAAGAGATGTATTAAATAGCAAGATAAATACTAACCAATTTTCAAACTGCTGCTCTTTCATTTAGTATAGATTTCAATGTCACTCTGTATAATGAAGTGTAAGACTAATTAATAAACTACAGTGGGATCCATTTGATAATATTTATTTTCTCTCAATAAATACTCCATTAGAATTACTCCATCATATCAGAAATTCCTCCATATTCCAATTAAGGCATATTAGCTATGCATGAATTAACACTGGCATAATAAATGCCAAATAAATTAATAACTATCGACCACTAATTATATGAAGAGACAGTAGAAAAATTGCAAAAGATTAAAATACAATTTGGAAAGAGGCAGTGGCAGTTCCCACCTTGTTTATTCAACCATGAAGAGCTGGGCTGTTGTTTTTATTCCTATTTTTTAAATTCCCATAAATTTATATCGCCCAAATATTCAACAGCTCATCATCATTTAGTAGTCTTTTGTTTCTTCTCTACGTGATTTTTCTTTATCCTTGTTGAAATTGAAGTTTGAGATATAGCTGAAGTTATGAAGACATAACCCTTCAAAAATATTTTTAAAATATTACATGTCTAAGACTACAAATAACTTCCCCAGCAATGATTATTTACCACTGTATTTGTCACAAACGGCATTAAAAACAAAATCTACCTAGGAAGGTTGTCTTAATAGAACAGTCCTGGGGGTGAGTAGAGACTATACAATAAACATTTGAATATCAAATAAAGTTTCATGACAAATAGTATATACATTTTATGCTTTGGAAGTCAATTAATTTTGCACTTAAGATTCCCAACATGAGCTTCAAAGGCTATTTTGCTCTTGGCTGGATACAATCTCCACACATACAAAGTCCCATGCAACACCCTAAAATATGTTTGTCCAAGGAATGGCTTATATTTAATTTCACTTTACCCTTTAAGCATGCACATTTCAAGATATATCATTTTATTGGAAAAAAACTTACCAATTGTAAGAATATGAATTTGTTTAAGCAGCCACACTGGGTATGACTTTATATAAAAATTAGCATAAATCAACAGATCCAATGTTTTTAAGATCCAATCTCCTCAATCCCCAATTTCATTTGTAATAAAGCTACTACCATCCTTTTAAAGTTGCAATTATTGCTATAAGATATATACTTATTGATTAGTCTTGATAATTAAGGAGCAATTAACCACCTACAGGACACTTACGAAGTTGATCTTGTTCACAAAGAGTTTTTAAATTTGTTTTTGCAATGGGCTGCACAAAACAAGACAGGTGTACAAATATGTGCAACAAAAATAGGGTCACTATCAGGAATATATAAAACTTCACTAGCCTTATCCAAAGTAACCTAGTATCTTTTAGCACTATTAGCAAAATATTAGTTCATTTAATACCTACACATATATTTTATGGTAAATACGAATGTTCACTTTTTTCTTCTCAGGTGCAACGTTCATGAATCTAGTGACAGAATTTTGAAAGAGCCACACACAGTTTTCCATGGATAACTGCGAATTTTGGAATATAAAGCATACCTTTTAAGAGAGGAGGAAAGGAATATTAGATTGGAATGAGACATTAGAGGGGTTTCTGGGTGCTTATTAATTTTTTATTGATAGCTGGTTATAAATGTATTAGTTTGTGGTAATTTATTGAGCTATATGCATATGATTTGTGTACTTTTCTCTATTATAACTGATACCTGCTTCATGGATATGTAGTGTGGTTGTTACTACAATTTACCTAAATGCAGTTTTCCATTCACATTGCTTTTTTCTTTTTACCTTGTCAGAGATAGGACAAGGTTGGATTTTAATTGAGTCTATATTTGTTCCCTTGTGCACTTGTCCTCTTCAACTGCCAGGCAGTCTAGCTCTGGCAATAGGCTCTGGACAGTGAGGAGTTTTGTAGCAGGAGGATTTGGGGGTAAAAGACATTTTTGTATTTCATCAAAAGTTCATCCTCGGGACAAACTCAGTGGGGATGTTCAGTTTGTAAATTTTTGCTCTTTGTATAAGTTAACAAATGGTGACACATAATGTTACATGCTGGTAGATAACTTAAAAATTAACTGTTAAAATATAAGTATATAGCTTCTCCAAATTACACATAATTCTAAAAAAAAGTTAACTCCCTGCCACTTTCAGTGTCATATTAATAAACTAACAGGCAGAATTTTCATGTGATCATGGATACCTGCATGTTATTATATTAGTGCAAACTCATGCCAACAACAGGGAAGTTTGGTGAAATGTACCTTCCCTTTTGAACAAACAGAAGATGCCTTCTGTGGGTTCTGAGGAATTGTAGCACACTCTCCAGCATGCACACACACACACACACACACACACCCCTTTCTGAATGACTTGGAAAGCAAAACGTATTTTTCCTTCCTCCTTCAATAAACCCTACTCATGGCTGAAAAGCTGTGAATCTCTAGAGCCCCCTTTTCACTTGGGACCTCATGCAGCCAGGGCCAATATGAAGGTGCACCACCATTTGATTTAAGCCAGCTGGAACCTTAGGTTACACTGCATGACTTTAGACACTACTCAGCTACTTATTGGCTATGCAATCTTGGATATGTCCCTTAAGCTCCATGGATCTCAGTTTCCTCCTCCTCCTCTCTACGGAAGGAGATAATTTTAACTACCTAATAAATATGTTATTACAATTAAATAAACATACATGTAAAATGCTTGGCACTAGCATTGGTAATTATTATCTTTTCTATGTAGGTATATGTATATATTAGTCTACATATATACTATTGATAAAATATGTCAATAATGTATATTTATTTATACATATCTATATATCCATACATATTTATACATTTATAAATATATAAATGTATAAATATATAAATATATAAATACATATTTATACATTTATAAATATAATATATAAATACATATAGATACGTGTGTGTGTGTGTGTGTATATATATATATATATATATATATATATATATATATATATTATATCAGTAGTCAGCAAACCTTTCTGTGAAGAGCTAGATAGTAAACATTAGCACTTTGGGAGCCTGAGGTGTTACATAAATGCTAACACTTACCGTGTAAATAGGCAGTGTCTCAGTTTTACAAATGGAAAACATTAGTTTGCCTAATAGCTACCCAGACTATGTAAGAATTGATTCATGAGGCAATTCTGTTTTCTATTTATACAGTATTCTGCAGCTCTAAAATGACTGTCTTATTCCTTAGACACAAATTTACTCACCCTTCTTTCTCACTCCATTATTCCATTTCACATATGAAGAAACTGCAGCTGAGAGTGGTAAAGTGATTTGTCCAAGATTCCTCAGTTAGTGAAAAGAAAAGGTGGGACTTCAAGTTTACTGCCAACTTTTAAAGGTAATGGCAATAATCAAATGCAATGAATGAGGCCGGGCGCGATGGTTCATGCCTTTAATCTTAGCACTTTGGGAGCCTGAGGTGGGCTTGAGCTCAGGAGTTCAAGACCAGCCTGGGCAACATGGTGAAACCATGTCTCTACAAAAAATACAAAATATTAGCCAGGCGTGGTGGCACCTGCCTGTAGTCCCAGCTACTTGGAGTGCTGAGTTGAGAGGATCACCTGAGCCCAGGAGGTGGAGGTTGCAAGTGAGCCAAGATCGTGCCACTGCACTCCAGCCTGGGTCAAAAAAAAAATTAATGAGAATTTTTCATTTAATATCAAAACTACAAGGTTCACTGCCTAGCTTAATTTCACATCTAACGTTACAGAAAGTTTTTTTTTTTTTTTTTTTGAGATGGAGTCTTGCTCTGCTGCCCAGGCTAGAGTGCAGTGGTGCCATCTCGGCTCACTGCAACCTCTGCCTCCCGGGTTCAAGCTATTCTCCTGCCTCAGCTTCCTGAGTAGCTGGGATTACAGGTGCCCACCACCATGCCCAGCTAATTTTTGCATTTTTTTTAGGTGGAGATGGTGGTTTCACCATGTTGGCCAGGCAGGTCTTGAACTCCTGACCTCAGATGATCCGCCTGCCTCGTCCTCCCAAAGTGCTGGGATTATAGGCGTGAGCCACCGTGCCCAGCCTAATGTTATAGAAAGTTTTAAAATGTGCAAACATACAGGAAAAAAAATCACACTCCTTCAAATTTTAATAATTCTTTGGAAGTCACAGCACCAACTTAAAAGACTAAATCTAAAAGGGAAATATCCCCAAGGCCTTTTTAATGTTCCTACTGTATTTATTCCCTCTTTTTTGTTCAAGCAGCTAATCTCCTCATGATTGATTCCTTGTTTAGAAGTAACTCAGTCTCCGCCTGACTTTAGACACTGGCCCCTTATTCCCTGGTCTGAGTGTCTGTCTTTAGTCTTTATTGTCTCCTCTGAGGACCTCCCTCCCCTTCTACTGCTTGTGACAGCATAATGACACCAGGCCCACTTAAACTCAGGTCTCTGCTCTTTGTAGCTAACCAGCCCTTGGCTAAGCCATATTTCCCAACAGTTAGCATGCTGCCCCTTAAGACAGTGTCTTTAGAAAATACCAACAGAGAAAGAAACATCACCATGTTAAAGTTGGAATATTGACTTTGTTTATTCTTTCTCTGTGTAGTGATCCAGTCACTCGTTACCATGATATTCATTGTACTATTGTTAATTCAAATACATGCAAAATCATTTAATTAAAATTGCTAAAGCCCATATGATAAAATGAATGAACGAATGCATTATTAGTAGAAAATAAATATTTCCATAAGAATTTCAAGATGTTTAGCTACTAATTGTACTACTGCATAAAGAAACACACAAAAATATTATAGTCTTGAACGTTAAAATAACGAATATGTACAATTATATTTAACAGTATTTGTAAAATTTTTAAGTTTCATATATATTAAAGAATAAATTCAACTTTGTTTGTATTTTTCCCCTGAAATAGCTTTCTTTTTGTCAGATATTCAATGCTTATGGCACCACAGTCGTCATTTTTGGCTTTGTAAACTGGACTTTTCTACATATATTCCAACTCTACTTTAACCTTAAGCTATACTAAAGAATAACTTTTCCTCCTGTATGTCGTTCTGTTTCTGTTAAATACCAGTTGGTACCCAGGCCTCTAACTGCCTACCTCAAAGTGACTCACAATTTTCTAAAAATCATACCTGCTAAAATAATCAACAGACCAAAACAAAATAAACATATTTGCCATTCTTTGTCGATATTATCGAATCCTTAATATAGGCCCTGAAAAATCTTTAGTAAATATGTTTTCCTTAAAGGTAGATACTAAGTTTAGAGGAACAAAATGCACCCCTCCCCCATCCCCTCTTGTTTATAGAGGGCTTTTGGTTTTGGTTTTATTTCTTTTCTTTGTTTACTCATTTATTTGCATTTTTTCTATAGTAACTTTAAATATCTTAGTTTTGGTATATATTATTTCCTTACTTCCCCAAATTTTAAATCACAATTATCCTTTTTGTATTATTTCAATTGTAAACAAATTCTTACTCCCTATTTTGATTTCTTTCAAAGTGAAATAAGTCATTGTCTAAGTCTATTTAGGGTTGTTATAAAGAAATACCTGAGACCGAATAATTTGAAAGAAAACAGGTTTATTTGGGTCATGATTTTCATGGCTGGGAAAGTTCAAGATTGAGCATCTGCATCTGGTAAGGGCCACAGGCTGCTTCCACTCATGGCAGAAAGTGAAGAGGAGCCCATGTGTGCAGAGACTGCATGGTGAGAGAGGAAGCAAAAGAGAGGAGGGAGGTGCCACACTCTTTAACAATCAGCTCTTGGGGAAACTAACAGAATGACAGCATGCTCATTACCACTACTACAGCATCAAGCCATTCATAAGGGATCTGCTCCCATGACCCAAACACCCCCATTAGGCATCAATTCTAACACTGGGGATCAAATTTCAGCATGAGATTTGGAAGGGACAAAGATCCAAACTACAGCAGTACTGGCATCTAATATTTAATTTAAAAGCATCTCAAACTATACTGAATAACATTTAATTGGTTTTTCACTCTCCTTCCAGAGAGAAACATATACTGCTTGAATCAACTCACAGAAAAATCAAGCCCTGAAAACATATACTAGTTATCTAAGCATTTATTCCATATTTTATTAATTTATTCTTCAATAAATATCTCTTGAATAATTACTGCATGCAAGGCACTGTGCTAAACATTGATTATGCCATGGTGCATAGAAGAAACATGACACCCTCCTCTCAGAGTTTATAAACCAGTGAGAAAAACAAAGAACAATTAAGGTAACTAATAAATAAATACAGATTTTCAAATTGCAAAAATCTTCATAGGGGAAATCATCAGGGTGCAGGGACAGAAAAGAATGGTGGGCCTTACACAGGTGGGGTATTGGAAGATTACACTGATGAGGTATCACTGACTGAAACTGGGAGGATGAGAAGAGGTTACTTCTTGAAAATAGGAAGTGAAAGATCTTCAGAAAAAGATGCCTATATAAATAGATGTTCCCAATGTGGAAGACAGCTGGGCATATCCGGAACATTAAAGGTGTCCAAATTGGCTCAAATTGTGATTTGAGAAAAAAAAATTCAAAAAAAAAATCACACACACACATAAATTAGATAGATAGATAGATAGATAGATAGATAGATAGATAGATAGATAGACAGACAGACAGATAGATAATGCTAAAGCAAGTATGTTTAGGCGCTAACATTTGATGGAGCTGCATGAAAAGTGTACGGGGATTCTATGTCCTTTTAAGTCTGAAATTTTTTCAAAGAGTTTTTTTAATTTTTTCCACCGGGCACAGTGGCTCACTCCTGTAATCCCAACACTTTGAGAGGACAAGGCGGACAGATCACTTGAGGCCAGGAGTTTAAGACCAGCCTCGTCAACATGGCAAAAACCCATCTCTACTAAAAATGCAAAAATTAGCCAGGTGTGGTGGCACACACCTGTAGTCCCAGCCACGCTGGAGGCTGAAGCAAGAGAATCACTTGAACCCAGGAGGCGCAGGTTGCAATGAGCCAAAGTCGCACCACTGCACTTCAGCCTGGGTGAGGAAGGGAGACCCTGTCTCATAAAGAAAAAAAAAAATGATGTTTTACAAAAAGGATTATGAAAGCAATGAACCAATACCCCTTATAAATATAGACACAAAAATTATTAACAAAATACTAGCAAGCAATATTCAGCAAAATATAAAAGAATTATACATCATGATCAAGGTGGATTTATCCCAGGAATAAGGTTAGTGGTTTAGGCTACAAAAATCAATCAATGTAATATACCATATTAGTAGAAAAATAGAAAATAAAAACCAGGATTTTCTCAAAAGACATAGAAAAAGCAGTTGAGCTGGGTGCAGTGGCTCATGCCTATAATCCCAGCACTTTGGGAGGCCAAAGTCAGTACACAGCTTGAGCCCAGGAGTTCGAGACCAGCCTGGGCAACCACGGCAAGACCCTGACTCTACAAAAAAATTCAAAAATTAACCAGACATAGTGGCATTTGCCTAAAGTTCCAACTTTACTCGGGCGTTGAGGCTGCGGTGAGTCATGATCAAGCCACTGCACTCCAACCTAGGTGACAGAACAAGACCCTGTCTCGAGAAAAAAAAGAAAAGAAAAAAGAAAACACAGTTGAAAAAATCCAACATATTTTCATGATAAAAACACTTTTAAAAAATTAGAAATAAAAAGGAATTTTCTCAGTCTGATTAGGGGTATCTATGGAAAACCACAGCTAATATCATGCTTAATGAAGAAAAACTGAGTGCCATTTCTCTAAGAACAGGAACAAGATAAGGATGTCTGCACTCACCACTTTAATCCACACTGTTCTTGAGGCTTTAGGAAAGCAACTGTGCAAGAAAAAAGATTTAAAAAGAAATATGAAACTATCTTTATTTGCAAGCTATCTATATTTGTATATAGAAAACTCTAAGGAATCAGATTTTAAAACTTGTAGAACTAATAAATGAGCTCAAAAACTTGCCAGGATACAAGGTCAATATACAAAAATCGATTGTATTTCTATCTACAAGTAATGAACAATCTGAAAATGAAACTTAAAAATGATCCCATTTATATTAGCAGCAAATAAAATACCTAGGAGAATTTTAGCCAAAAAAAAAATCTCAGGCCTTGTACACTGAGCACTACAAATACTGTTGAAAGAAACTAAACAAGAACTACATAAATAGACATGTCATATTCATGAATCAGAAAACTTAAATTGTTAAGATAGCAATACTCCCCAAATTAATCTACAAATTCAACAAAATATCTATCAAAATTCCAACTGTTTTTTAATTCAAAAATTGACAAGCTGTCACTAAAATTTATATGGGAATGCGAGGGATCAAGAATAGCCAAAAGAATATCGAAAAATAAAAAAGCTGGAAGACACACTTCCTGATTTCCAAATCTACTATTCGGTTGATGCAAAAGTAATTGCAGGTTTTACAATTGAAAATAATGGCAAAAACCGCAATCACTTTTGCACAATATAAAGCTACAGTAATCAAGACAGTGCAATACTGACAAAGAAACAGAATATAAATCAATGGAATAGGATTAGGAGTCCATACATAAACTCTCACATTTATTGTCAATTGATTTTTGACAAGGATATAAAAACAATTCAGTGGGAAAAAAAGAGTATTTTAAAAAATGATGTTCAGACAACTGGATATCCACATGAAAAAGAATGAGTCTGGACATCTCTGCCTCACAATATACACAAATATTAATTCAAAATGGCTAATAGATCTAAGTGTAAGAGGTAAAATTATAAAACACCTAAAGGAAAACATAGGAGTAAATCTTTGAGACATTGGATTAGGCAATGGCTGATTTCTTAGATAAAACACCAAAAGCACATGAAACAAAAAATATATAGATAAATTAAGCTTCATTAAGATGTAGAACTTTTGTGCATACAAAACTGAAAAGAGGAACTCCTGGCCAGTGACAGTGGCCCATGCCTGTAATCCCAACACTTTGGGAGGCTGAGGCAGGAAGATCACTTGAGCTCAGGAGTTTGAGACCAGCCTGGGCAACATAGTGAGATCTTGTCTCTATTTTTTTTTAATAAAAAAATGTAAAAAGAGAAGAAAAGAAGTCCTAGTCAGAGCAATCAGGCAAGATAAAGAAATAAAAGGCATCCAGGCTGGGCGCAGTGGCTCACGCCTGTAATCCCAGAACTTTGGGAGGCCGAGGCAGGTGGATCACCTGAGGTCTGGAGTTTGAGACCAGCTGGTCAACATGGTGAAACCCCACCTCTACTAAAAGTACAAAAATTATCCAGGTGTGGTGGTGGGTGCCTGTAATCCCAGCTACTTGGGAGGCTGAGGCAGGAGAATCTCTTGAACCTGGTGGGTAGAGATTGCGGTGAGCCGAGATCATGCCACTGCATTCTAGCCTGGGCAACAAGAGTGAAATCCCATCAAAGAAAAAAAAAAAAGCATCCAAATAGGAACAGAGGAAGTCAAACAATATGATACTATACCTAGAAAACCTGATGGTCTCTGCCCACAGGCTTCTAGATCTTATAACCAACTTCAGTAAATTTTAAGATATAAAATCAATGTACAAAAATCAGTAGCATTTCTGTATGCCAATCAATAACATCCAAGCTGAGAGCTAAATCAAGAATGCAATCCCTGGCCAGGCATGGTGGCTCATGCCTGTATTCCCAGCACTTTGGGAGGCTGAGGCGGGTGGATCACCTGAGGTCAGGAGCTAGAGACCAGCCTGGCCAACATGGCGAAACCCCATCTCTGCTAAAAATACAAACAAATTAGCTGGGTTTGGTGGTCTGCCTGTAATCCCAGCTGCTTGGGAGGCTGAGGCTAGAGAATCGCTTGAACCCAGGAGTCAGAGGTTGCAGTGAGCCAAGACTGCACCACTGCACTCCAGCGTGGGTGACAGAGGGGGACTCCATCTCAAAAAACAAAAAAAGAATGCAATCCCATTCACAGTAGCCACAAAAGAATAAAGCATCTAGCAATACAGCTAACCAGAGAGGTGAAAGATCTCTACAATGGAAATTACAAAACACTGCTTAAAAAAATCAGAGATTACACCAACAAATGGAAAAACATTACATACTCATGTATAGGAGAATCAATGTTGTTAAAATGGCCATACTGCCCAAAACTATTTACGGATTCAATGCTATTTTTATCAAACTACCAATGACATGTTCACAGAATTAGGGTAAAAAAAATTCTAACATTCATTTGCAACCAAAAAAGAGCCTGAATAGCCAAAGCAATCCTAAGAAAAAAAAATAAAGCCAGAGGCATCACACTACCCAACTTCAAATTATACTACAAGGCTACAGTAACTAAAACAGTATGTTACACTGGTACAAAAATAGACACATAGACCAATGGAACAGACTAGAAAACCCAGAAATAAGGCCACACACCTAAAACTATCTGATCTTGGATAAAGTCAACAAAAGCAATTGGGAAACAACTCCCTATTTAATAAATGCTGCTGGGATAATTGGCTAAGAATATGCAGAAGATTGAAACTGGACCCCTACCTTTCACCATATACAAAAATCAACTCAAAATGGATTGAAGACTTAAATGTGAAACCTAAAACTATAAAGATCCTAGGAGAAAAGGGTATGCTTATATACTGCTGGTGGGAATGTAAATTAGTTCAGCCACTGTGGAAAGCAGTCTGGGGATTTTTAAAATAACTTAAAATAGAAGTACCATTTGACCCAGCAATTCCATTATTGGGTATACACCCAAAGGAATATAAATTGTTCTACCATAAAGACAAATGCATGCATATGTTCACTGCATTACTCACAATAGCAAAGACATGGAATCCACCTAGATGCCCATCAACAGCAGACTAGATAAAGAAAATGTGGTATATATACACCATGGAATACTACGTAGCTATAAAAATGAGATCATGGCTTTCTCAGCAACATAGATGGAGATGGAGGCTGTAATCTTAAGTGAATAATTGCAGGAACAGGAACCAAAATACCATATATTCTCATTTATGAGTAGGAGGTAAACATTGAGTACACATGGGCACAAAGAAGGGAACAATAGACACCAGGGCGTATTTGAGGGTGGAGTGTGGGAGGAGGCAGAAGACTGAAAAACCAATTATCGGGTATTATGCTGATTACTTGGGTGACAAAATTATCTGTACACTAAACCCCCATGACACACAATTTACCCATGTAACAGATCTGCACATATACCCCCTTGGACTTAAAATAAAAGTTGGGACAGAAAAAAAATTGAAAAGACAACCCACAGAACCAAAGAATATACTTCTAAATCATATATCTGATAAAGCAATCATCTAGAATATAGAAAAATGCAACTCAACAATAGGAAAATAAATAACCCAATTTTAAAAATGAGCAAAGGGATTAAATAAACATTTCTCCAAAGAAGATACATAAATGGCCAATAAACACATGAAAAGATGCTCAATATCATTAGTCATTAGATAAATGCAAATCAAAACCACAGTGGGATTACATTTCAATCTCCCTAGGATGACTATTTACAAAAAAAAGACAGAGAGAAATAATAACAAGTGTAGAGAATGTAGAAAATGGGAACCCTCATACATTGCTGTTGAGATTGTAAAACAGCGAAGCCATTTTGGAAAACAATTTGGCAATTTTTCAAAATGTTAAACATAAACAAAATGTTAAACCATGTGACCAGCAAATCCACTCCTAAGAGAAATGAAAACTCCCAAGAGAAATGAAAGCACTTGTCCACACAGAGACTTATGCATGAACAATCACAGAAGCATTATTCATAATAGCCAAAATGCAGAAACAACCTAAGCACCCATCAGCAGGTGAATAGGCAAACAAAATGTCATACATCCATACGGTGGAATATTATTTGGCCATAAAAAGTGAAGTATTGTTACATTCTACATGGATAAACCTTGAAAACACATTCTAAGAAAAAGAAGTCAGACACAAAAATACTACATATGATATGGACTTGTGTATGTAAAATGTCCAGAATAGGCAAATCCATACAGACCAAAAGTAAATTAGTCCTCGTCAGGAGCTATGGCTAGGTCCAGGGCTGGAGGCAAAGGGTTTAAAGGTAAGGGTGAGAAATGGAAAATAGGTTTGTAAAGGGTATAAGGTTTATCTTTAGAGTGTTGGAGAAACCCCATCTCTACTAAAAATACAAAATTAGCCAGGCATGGTGGTACATGCCTGTAATCCCAGCTACTCAGGAGGCTGAGGCAGGAGAATCGCTTTAACCAAGGAGGCAGAGGTTGTAGTGAGCCAAGATCACGCCATTGCACTCCAGCCTGGGCAACAAGAGCGAAACTCCATCTCAAAAAAAAAAAGTTCTAAAATTAAATTGGAAATGGTGGCACAACTCTGTGAATATACTAAATTGAATTGTACACTTAAAATGGATGAATTTTATGCTATATAAAACATACATCAATAAAGCTGTGAAAAGAAAAAGAATAGAAGCTATGCCATAAATTGATCTTTTCATATGTAAGTTAGAAACTTATCTGTAATTAGGAGTTTCTCCAACCATTTTCTTGAGATATTTTAGTATTAGGTATGACTTATGTACAAAAATAGGTAAGGCAGAATTTCTTCTAAATGTTTCATATTTTCTATTAGGTATACCTTTTGAATTTTCTTGTTAACATGACAACACCATTCTTTTTGTTAAGAACTGCAGGCTTTGCAGACGCCACCACCACTGGGAGCCCCATACTATCAGCCACGGTCAACCTCACCATGTTCTTTGACATCGCTGTTGATGGTGAGCCCTTGGGTCACGTCTCCTTTGGAATCTTGTCTGCAAGATTCCAAAGACAGCAGAAAACCTTTGTGCACTGGAGAGAAAGGATTTGGTTATAAGGGTTCCTGCTTTCACAGAATTATTCCAGGGTTTATGTGTCAGTGTGGCAAGTTCACACGCCATAATGGCACTGGTGGCAAATCCATCTGTGGGGAGAAATTTGATGACAAGAACGTCATCCTAAAGCATACAGGTCGTGGCATCTTGTCCATGGAAACTGGTGGACCCAACACCAATGGTTCCCAGTTTTTCATCTGCACTGGCAAGACTGAGTGGCTGGATGGCAAGTACATGGTCTTCAGCAAGGTAAAAGAAGGCAAGAATATTGTGGAAGCCATGGAGCGCTTTGGGTCCAGAAATGGCAAGACCAGCAAGAAGATCACTATTGCAGACTGTGGACAACTCTAATAAGTTTGATTTGTGTTTCATCTTAACCACCAGCCCATTCTTTCTGTAGCTCAGGCAAACACCCCTCCACCCCATTTGCTCAAAGTATCCTAGAATCTTTGTGCTCTCGCTTCAGTTCCCTTTTTGTTCCCTGTTTTCCTTGTTCCCTTCCAGGCCTAGCTGGATTGCAGAGTTAAGTTTATGATTATGAAATAAAAACTAAATAACAAAAAAATTTAAAAATAAAAAATAAAGAGCTGCAAGCAGCTATGAGTAACAGAGCTGCCTCACACTATTAAAAAAAGAAAAAGAAAAAAAAGACAATAAACATATTAAACCAATGGTGGTTCACTCCTGTAATCCTAGCACTTTGGGAGGCCAAGGCAGGCCGATCACCGAGCCCAGGAGTTCCAGACCAGCCTGGGCAACATGGAGAAACCCCATCTCTACAAAAAATACAAAAAAAAAAATAGGCAGGTGTATTAGTCCATTTGCATACTGCTATCAGGAAATACCCAAGGGTGGATAATTTATAAAGAAAAAGAGGTTTAATACACCCACAGTTCGACATGGCTGGGAAGGCCTCATGATCATGGTGGAAGGCAAAGGAGTAGGAAAGGCACGTCTTACATGGCAGCAGGCAAGAGAGTGTGTGCAGGGGAACTGCCTTTCATAAAACTATCAGATATCATGAGACTTATTCAGTATCATAAGAATAGCATGGAAAAACCTGCCCTCATGATTCAGTTACCTCCAACCAGGTCCCTCCCACAACATGTGGGGATTATGGGAGCTACAATTCAAAATGAGATTTGGGTGGGGACACAGCCAAACCACATCATTCTACCCCTGGCCCTTCCCATTTCAGCATTAACTCAAAAGTCCACAACCCAAAGTCTCATCTGAGACAAGGCAAATGTCTTCCACCTATGAGCCTGAAAAATCAACAGCAAGTTAGTTACTTCCTAGATAACAATGGGGGTACAAACATTGGGTAAATACAACCATTCCAAGTGGGAGAAATTGGCAAAAACAAAGAAGCTACAGGCCCCACGCAAGTCTGAAATCCAGAGGAGCAGTCAAATCTTAAAGCTCCAAAATGATCTCCTTTGACTCCATGTTTCACATCCAGGTCATACTGATGCAAGAGGTAGGTTTCTATGGTCATGGGCAGCTCCACCCCTGTAGCTTTGCAGGGCACAGTCCCCCTCCTGGCTGCTTTCATGGGCTGCCATTGAGTGTTTGCAGCTTTTCCAGGTGCACAGTGCAAGCTGTGGGTGGATCTATCATTTTGGGGTCTGGAGAACAGTCACCCTCTTCTCACAGCTCCACTAGGCAGTGCCCCAGTGGGGACTCTGTTTGGGGGCTCCCACCCCACATTTCCCTTCTGCACTGTCCTAGCAGAGGTCCTCCAGGTTCGTACTGCCCCTGCAAACAATTTCTGCCTCGAGATCCAGGCATTTCTATACATCCTCTGAAATCTAGGTGGAGGTTCCCAAACCTCAATTCTTGTCTTCTGCCCACCCACAGGACCAGTACCATGTGGAAGCTGTCAAGGCTTGGGGCTTGCACCCTCCAAAGCCACAGCCTGAGCAGTACCTTGGCCCCTTTTAGCCACAGCTAAAGCAGCTGGGACACAGGGCACCAAGTCCTGAGGCTGCATGTAGCAGGGGGGGCCCCAGACCCAGCCCAGGAAACCCTTTTTTCCTCCTAGGCCTCTGGGCCTGTAATGGGAGGGACTGCCACAAAGTTCTCTGATATGTCCTGCAGACATTTTCCCCATTGTCTTGGTGATTAGCAATTGGCTCCTCATTACTTATGAAAATTTCTGCTACCAGCTTGAACTTCTCCCCAGAAAATGGGTTTTTCTTTTCTACTGCATCGTCAGGCTGCAAATTTTTCAAACTTTTATGTTCTGCTTCCTCTTGAACACTTTGCTGCTTAGACATTTCTTCCACCAGATACGCCAAATCATCTCTCTCAAGTTCAAAGTTCCACAGATCTCTAGGGCAAGGGCAAAATGACACCAGTTTCTTTGCATAGCAAGAGTGACCTTTACTCCAGTTCCCAACAAGTTCTTCATCTTCATCTGAGACCACTTAGCCTGGACTTTATTATTCATATCACTATCTGCATTTTGGTAAAAGCCACCCAACAAGTCTCTAGGAAGTTCCATACTTTCCCACATCTTCCTGTCTTCTGAGTCCTCCAAGCCTCTAGAAAGTTCCAAACTTTCCCACATTTTCCTATCTTCTACTAAGCCCTCCAAATTGCTCCAACCTCTGCCTGTTACCCAGTTCCAAAGTCATTTCCACATTGTTGTGTATCTTTACAGCAGCATCCCACTTGACCAGTACTTGGTCAATCAGAAAATTGACCACTTGGGTCCATTTTCATACTATGAAAGAATACCCAAGACTGGGTAATTTATAAAGAAAAAGAGGTTTAATAGACTTACAGTTCCACATGGCTGGGGAGACCTCACAATCATAGTGTTAGGCAAAAAAAGAAGACAGGCACATCTTACACAGAGGCAGGCAAGAGAGCATGTGCAGGGGAACTGCCCTTTATAAAATCATCAGATCTCATGAGACTTATTGACTATCATGAGAACAGCATGGGTAAACCCACCCGCATGATTCAATTACCTCCAACAGGGTCCCTCCCACGACACTTGAGGATTGTGGGAACTACAATTCAAGATGAAATTTGGGTGGGGACACAGCCAAACCATATCACTGAGTGTGGTGGTATGCACCTGTAGTGCCAACTACTCAGGAGACTGAAGCAGGAGGATCACCTGAGCCTGGGGAGGTCAAGGCCACAGTGAGCCGTGATTATGCCACTGCACTCCGGCCTGTGTTACAGAGTGAGACCCTGTCTCAAAACAAAAATCAAAAACAGTAGCTGAGAAAAATATATGGCTTTTTTTTGCATATAAGACATGTCCAGATGTAGACAGTCCAGAATGTGAATGGCAGCTCTGTGACATCAATCATTAGACCATATTTATTTCATCTTTGTATTCTGCCACTTGAGAAAAGGCTTTCATCCTCAAGTTACATCCTAATTCAGTAGGATTACTGAAACTCCTGGAAATATTTGTTGAACTTTAGATTGGAAAAAAGGGGGAAGGGAGGAGAAATGCAAACAGAGTGTCTCCAGCCAAGGTAGCTTGATTTAAAGAGCTCTTGGAAACATCTTCCACTTATATTTCATTGGCCAAGTCTAGTTATCAATAGCTATAAAATTTGGTGTCTTAGCTGTACATTTTGCCTCACTGTTTAAAATCAGGGCTCTATTGCAATGGAACAAGAAATGAATGGATTTAATAAGCGAACCAGCACTCTGCCCTGACATCTGAAATCCATCCCTCACTGACATCTAAACCCATAAACTTTGGAGAATTAATTCTTTAAAAGTCAGATAATGAGAAAGATGCCATAGTCTTGAAGAAAATAAAATAGGTTACTTCAGGACAAGAATCTCTTCTTTCCAAGGTATTCAAATCATTTATCAAAAAGTCTCAATATGAATTATGTCCAGCTTTACTACTGAATTTATTTTCTTTCTTTTCTACATGATAGAAGTCTCCAGATTGGCCATTTATTCATTCAGCCGTTTAGCCAATAATTTGGCTTTTGATTTTTTTTTAATTTGGATTGAGGGGTACATGTGCAAATTTGTTACACGGATATATTGCATAATGATGAGGTTTGGGCTTCCAGTATACCCCTCACCCAAATAGTACACATTGTAATAAGTACAATCTTTTAACCCTCGCCCCCACTCTCAACCTCTCCCATTTTTGGAGTCCCCAGTATCTATTATTTCCATCTTTGTTTCCTTGTGTGCCCACTGTTTAGCTCTCACTTAAAAGTGAGAACATGCGGTGTTTGATCTTCTGTTTCCATATTAATTCACTTAGGATAATGGCCTCTAGCTCCATCCATGTTGCTGCAAAGACCATGATTTCATTCTTTTTTACAACCATATGGTATTTCATGGTGTATGTATATATATATATATATATATATTACATTTCCTTATCCAATCATATGTTGATAGATCTTAGGTTGATTCCATGACTTTGCTGTTGTGAATAGCACCACAGTAAACATAAAAGTGCAGGTGTTTTTTTATATAATAACTTCTTTTTTTGGGTAGATATCCAGAGGCACTGCTAGGTCAAATGGCAGTTCTATATTTAGTTCTTTGAGAAATTGCCATCCTGTTTTTCACAGATGTTGTACTAATTTACATTCTCATTAACAGTGTATAAGGTTTCACTGTTTTCTGCATCCATGCCAACATCTGTTGTTTTTCACTTTTTAATAATAGCCATTCTGACTGATGTGAGATGATATCTCATTGTGGTTCTAATTTACATTTCTCTGATGATTAATGTCGAGTATTTTTTCATATGTCTGTTGGACATTTGTATGTCTTCTTTTGAGAAATGTCTATTCTCATCCTTTGCTCTTTCTTAAGGGGATTATTGGTTTTGTTGTTTTTTGTTCTTGTTGCTAACTGAGTTCCTTGTAGACTCTGCATATTAGTCCTTTGTCAGAGGCATAATTTGCAAATATTTTCCCCAATTCTGCAGGTTGTCTGTTTACTCTATTGGTTATTTATTTTGCTGTGCAGAAGCTTTTTAAATTCCGTTTCTCTTTCTGTTTTTGTTGCATTTGTTTTGGGAATCTTTGTCATAAATTCTTTGCACAGGCCAATGTCTAGGAATTTTTCCTAGGTTTTCTTCTAGAATTTTTATAGTTTCAGATCTTATATTTAGATCTTTAATCCATCTTGAATTAATTTTTGTATATGGTGAGAGATAGGGGTCCAGTTTTATTCTTCTGCCAATCTTCCCAGCACCATTTATTGAATAGGGTGTCCTTTTGTAACTGTTTATTTTTGTTGACATTGTGAAAAATCAGCTGGTTGTAGATACGTGGCTTTATTTCCAGGTTCTCTGTTCTGTTTCATTGATCTATGTGTCTATTTTTGAATAGTACCATGCTGTTTTAGTAACTACGGCCTTGTAGTATAATCTGAAGTCAGGTAACGTGATGTCTCTGGCTTTATTCTTTTTGCTTAGTACTGCTTTTGCTATTCTGGCCCTTTTTTGGTTTCATATAAACTTTAGAATAATTTTCTCTAATTCTATGAAGAATGATGTTAGTAACTTTATTTTTTTTTAATTATACTTTAAGTTTTAGGGTACATGTGCACAATGTGCAGGTTTGTTACATATGTATACATGTGCCACGTTGGTGTACTGCACCCATTAACTCATCATTTAACATTAGGTATATCTCCTAATGCTATCCCTCCCCCTCCCCCCACCCCACAACAGGCCCCAGTGTGTGATGTTCCCCTTCCTGTGTCCATGTGTTCTCATTGTTCAATTTCCACCTATGAGTAAGAACGTGGTGTTTGGTTTTTTGTCCTCGTGATAGTTTGCTGAGAATGATGGTTTCCAGCTTCATCCATGTCCCTACAAAGGACATGAACTCATCATTTTTCATGGCTGCATAGTATTCCATGGTGTATATGTGCCACGTTTTCTTAATCCAGTCTATCATTGTTGGACATTTGGGTTGGTTCCAAGTCTTTTCTATTATGAATAGTGCTGCAATAAACATACATGTGCATGTGTCTTTATAGCAGCATCATTTACAATCCTTTGGGTATATACCCAGTAATGGGATGGGTGGGTCAAATGGTATTTCCAGTTCTAGTCCCTGAGGAATCGCCACACTGACTTCCACAATGGTTGAACTAGTTTACAGTCCCACCAACAGTGTAAAAGTGTTCCTATTTCTCCACATCCTCTCCAGCACCTGTTGTTTCCTGACTTTTTAATGATTGCCATTCTAACTGGTGTGAGATGGTATCTCATTGTGGTGTTGATTTGCATTTCTCTGATGGCCAGTGATGATGAGCATTTTTTCATGTGTTTTTTGGCTGCATAAATGTCTTCTTTTGAGAAGTGTCTGTTCATATCCTTTGCCCACTTTTTCATGGGGTTATTTGTTTTTTTCTTGTAAATTTGTTTGAGTTCATTGTAGATTCTGGATATTAGCCCTTTGTCAGATGAGTAGGTTGTGAAAATTTTCTCCCATTCTGTAGGTTGCCTGTTCACTCTGATGGTGGTTTCTTTTGCTGTGCAAAAGCTCTTTAGTTTAATTAGATCCCATTTGTCAATTTGGGACATTAGTAATTTTCTAAGGATTGCATTGAATCTGTAGATTGCACTGGGCACTATTGTCACTTTAATGATATTGATGCTTCCAGTTCATAAGCATGGGATTTTTTCTATTTGTTTGTGTCATCTATGATTTCTTTCATCAGTGTTTTGTAGTTTTCCTTGTAGAGATCTTTCACCTCCTTTGGTTAATGTTTTCCTAGGTATTTAATTCAGCCAACAGTTATTGAATGCTTATTTTATACCAGTCACTAATGAGAAGTATAGAGTTTACATTCCAGTGGGAAATACAGCAAGTAAACAAATTCTTTATTTAATCACATAAAGCTGCCATATCAGTGGATTTTTTTCAGTTGATTACTGATTTCATTTTTTTGAGTTTTATGTAGCAGAAGATGATAAATTTAATGGAAAAAAACTAAAGTAGAAGAGAGAGCTAACTATTGATAGGTGATAGGGATGAAGATTTTAAACAGAGCAATCAGGTAGGGCTTCACTGAGTAGTGGATGGACGAGGACAAGAGAAGTACGGAAGACATCCAACCAGGTATTTGGAGAAAAAGAACCAGAGATAGAGGAGTGAATGTGTGTAAGAAGAAGGAGCAAGCAGTCTAGGATAAGCAGGGAGGTAAGTGTGACCAAAGGACAGTAATTAGATGGGGAGAGAAGCAGATGAGGTCAGAAAAGTAACAAGAGTCAGATAAAACAGGGCCTTGTAGATCATTATAATGACTTTGCCTTTTACTCAGTGTGAGGTAAAAGGTCATTAGAGACTCTTGAGCAAAAGCAGTGAAAGAATATGACTTTTGTAAAGATCACTGACAGCTGTGTTGAGACTAGACTGTAATGGATAGAGAGAATGTGTTAACAGGCTTTTCAATTGCAGTGAGAAATGATGGTGGCTCAGACCAGGATGGTTATAGCAAAGGTGGCAAAACGTTTCTAGAATATTGGAAAGGTACATAGTGCAGGGTTGCCCAGTGGAAAAGATATCAAGTGAGAAAGAGCCAAGGATAACCCAAATGTATCTGGTCTAAGCAACTGCAAGAATGATGTTGTCACTAGAGTGTGAAGAGATGGACGTGAAGACTGGGGAGAAAGATTAAGAGTTCTGTTATGGCCATGTTAAGTTTGAGGTTTGCATTAGACAGACAAGTGGTGAAGTAAAATGAAATATTACGTATAGAATTAGGACGTCAGAACCCAGGAACTATTTCCAGTTTATCTATAAACCTATGGGGAGAACTAGAACTAAAAGGTATGTGTATGTGTTTTAAGAAAAGAGAAATAACAGCACCTTTTATGCTGATGGGAAAAATCTAGTAGAGATAATTTTTCAGGAAAATTGTCCTTTTATTGTGTGAATTATTATTAACAATATCTTGTAGACTCAGTTTCCACATTGGTGAAATGAGAAATTCAGAATATGATGTCTAGGATCCAATGGTCTATGTTGTATTAGTCAAAGGAAGTATTCTTCATTACTCTAGTGGCCTGTATATGAATCATTTCATTTGGAAATGGAATTTTGTACTAGACTGTAGTGGGTGGTAGAATACCTGAGCAGAACTTTAATCCCCATTTTTTTAGTATATAGCATTTCAGCTTTCCCTTCACTATCTTTATTGTATTCCCTATTTCTTCCTCAGAATCAACCCCAAAGGACAATGTTGTGTTTCTCTTATGATTTATCTATGTTGCATTAAATCACCTGTGAAAGCAACTAGGCATTACCTGGAGCTTAAACATCACCTTTGATCGTATAGAGAGTCTCAGTGCAGTTCTATTGGTGATAAAGAGAGATGACCAATTCCCTCAGTTCCATCTCAGCATTTTTGTATGCAGAGTTTTAACTTCTTCTACCTAGTAATTTCCTATTTTCTTGAAATCCATATCATTCTTTTCTCAAATCCCAGAGCAGCTCATTATTATCGCCATTGAAAAACAGTTTGATAATAACTGTACTGGTTCATACACATGAATATATAAAAA